>NW_011332701.1:4835264-4998962 GCF_000001405.40 Homo sapiens | reverse complement strand
GAATTCTTACCAATCAGTAATAAAAAGAAACTATGCTACCTGATTGTAGTAGATGGAATTACAGATCATGCACCTAGTTGCTCCATATGCAGACTTTGAAACAATTCATTTCTATTTAGCTTCTTAACCATTCCTGTCTCCACCAACGCAGGATGCCTCTTACTCGTGTATGTCTGGCATTCTACCTCCCACAGCTATACCTAGGAATTTACCAGTCCTCCAACTTCACATTTTCTGTTTTAAAACTTAAAGGGCTCCCCTAGTTTTATGGAAGATAGATTTTATTTTTCAAATCATTAGGTCTCATAATTTTGGGCTAATTTTTTAGGAGAAGAGGAAGTCGAAAGGCCTTTACCACCCCAAATTCCAAGTGAATTTGATTCTCATATCTTAAAGGCTATTCCCTTGTTGCAATATGACTAATTAGGAATGTACATCTTTGCTGGAATAATTATTTCAAGGGAGAGGCCACAGGACTAGAAGTCAGGCATCTAGGCATCTCTGGGCAAATCATCTACCATGTGTGTTACACCCTTGTTGATCTAAGAGAACCTCTGGGTGCATATGCTCATGGTTCCAGTCAAGATGGGTGTAGACGCTCACTCTTCATGGATGGCAGTGGGTAGGTTTTTTCAGTCACTATGTTATGCCATTCACCTGAAAGCCTGAATGATAGTGTATGATACGCACTTGCTTCCCGTGATAGCTGTGCTATGAGAGTAAGAAGGAGGATAAGACTAATTACGGGGGAAATGTGCTGGGACATAACACCGCAAACCCTAACAAAATCTTGCAGCAGTTCTAAAATATCTACTAAAATACAGTAATATTTCATCTTTCTCTTTTTACCAACATTTCGTGGAATATTTATTTTATATTCATGGAAGGAACTCAGTGAACCTGTTGGAAGCAATATGGCACTTACATATCAGCAGCTGTTAGCCAGAAAATTAACAGAGTGGAGTGACTTGGGTTGTAAGTAGTGTACATTATGGCAATGGCGGCAAATGAAGACTATGCGAGAAGTTGTCTGCAAAAGGAAAATGTGAGGTGCCCTAAGTATCTTTAAAGGAAGAAGTGTTTCCCTTGGAGTTCTGTCTCAGATTTTGCCTTCCAGTGGCTTGAGGCACTGCAGCTAGGGGTGCTCACTCTTGCTGGCTCTTCACCTCTACACAGGAGTGGGAAAGAGCCAGGTAATTTGCATCGTGGATACCCTCTAAATCAAAGGCCATCCATCATTTCTGATATCTTGAATGCAATGATTATCATATCAAAGACATATGATGACATTGAAGATAATAACTTTTCTGTTGCCCATTATCTCTAACCAGCTTGGCGTAATTATTAGCATGTGTTCTTTCCAAAAGCCTAACACTCTAACATGTTGGAAAGAAAAAGCCCTATTTAAGCCACCAAAGATATACGTGTGTGAGACTGGGTTGAAGTTTTTATTATTAGATGAGAAATTATATAGACAAGACAGGAAGTCCAAAGGTCATGCAAACTTTGTTATTTAGAGGTTTTAGGAGGGCACTATGGCTGTCTGTATACTTGGGATTGGCTTTCTATGAGAAAGTTACTTCCAATACTTCCTAAATGAGTACAATAGCTTTAGTAAAGGACTCCGTGGAGATTGATATTCTGAAAGGGGCTCATGGGAAAAACCTCTGGAAATCAGGGATTATAGAAACATACATATATCTATGTATTGGCACCGTGCTAAGTGCCAATGATCAGTAACAAAATAATACATTTATTTAGAGTCACTTCACCCCTCAAAATGTCCATGGACCAGCAGCAACATAATCACCTAGAAGATTATTAGAAATATAAAAATATCAGCCCCTGTATTAGTTTCCTAGGGCTAATTTAACAAACTGTCACCAACTGTTGACTTGAAACAACAAAAATTTATTGTCTCATAATTCTAGAGTCTAGAAGTCTAAAATCAAAGCTGTTCGCAGGGCCAAGCTTTGGTAGCTCTGGTTCTGTCTGAAGGCAGTGAATGCACTGATGTCTCTTGGTCTTTTCTTCCCGCAAGACTCCATGATCAATAGGAAAAAGCATGTGATTTTGTTTGGGGGTTTGTCTTCTACATTACACAAAATCAGAAATCTGCCCACAGCCCTACCCTCCCCCCTCCAACCCATCACACCCCCACACTGTCATAGCCTTCACCTGCTGTGGCCTCCGCATTAGCCTTCTGAGTGGAATTCATCAGCCTGAAAAACAAGAAAAGGGTTTTTCTGTCTCGTCAGGATGGGGATGGGGTGCCAAATACGTTCTCAGACTCAAGACAGGGTGACAATTTGCCTTTTCACATTTCTTGGTGAAGAGCCTAGATCCTTAAAGTAAACTTCATCCAAGCAATTTTATGTGTCCCCAAAAATAAGGCCATGGAAGAGATTCAGACCTAACAGTTTGACTAAACAGTGAAGCTTAGTTTTCCTTGAAACATTTAATGAGACAGATTATCAGCTGTATGTGGAAAGCTTATTTTAATGTCATTATCAGGCCAGTTGACAGAGGCTTCTTCCCAGAGGCCTACCAGGCCATACTGGCCATTAGCAGCAAGAGCTGTTTTGCACCACGTCGGATGACATTGCATAATATGGCACTACACAGCCAGCCAACCAGCTCTTCTGGGTGTGATGGCAGAGTGGCAGGGGATGGAGCAGGGAAGAAGAAGGGGACCAAGGAAACTGAATCAGCATTGTACTCCTGGGCACCTGCCAAGTAACAATTGCATATTTCCAAAGAAGCGGTTATTCTCCCGTAAGAGAGAAAGCAAGATGGCTGTGGTCCTGCCCTTCCCCTTCCCCAGGCACTCCCTTCTGGCACTGGCTGGGAGGAATCATTGCTTACCTGTCCCATTTGTAGTCACTGCCATATTAGAAATCGTAGGGAGGGGACTAGAATAGCCACAGCTATAAAAGGATTCTGCCAGTTGGTTCCCCCATGATTTTTTTCTGTGCATAAGGCCTGTATCCATAGGCTACCATACCTCATTGCCTTGCATCGTTTTGCATCACTTCTTGGAATTTCTTTCCATTGCGAAACTCTCACTCTGTTTTCCCAATTAGATGTCTATTACTTAGAAGATTTTTTGATTTGGATGGCAGTTAAATGAGAATAAAAATTAAACCTAAGGCCTTCTTAATATTCTCTCTCATCTCACAAAGATACTGCTCTCTAATGCAGCTAAAGTTTAGACCCTATACTAATTTATAATTTGGAGGTATTCAAACTAAAGTATCAGTGCAATCATCAGAGCCTGTAGCCCTTGAATAAGTGAAACAATTTCTGCATCTCTAACATAGGATTCTACGTGTCTTCCAACCCACTCCACAAGAATGTCTTAAAGAGAAACATAACAGTCATTATGAAGGTACCTTTATCTATTTGGAAGCCCATGACTTAGAAGTGGGATGACTGTTACTAAGACAAGCTGACTTGTCATCAGTAGCATATCTACTTTTTACCAACCAGCCTCTTAATGTCCATAGTTTGGCCAGGTGGTGGAATTCAGCGAGTATTGATGTGAAGCATAAGCAAGAGATAACACTAGTTTGATGGCACAAAAATAGAAGTTGTATTTTTTAGAATTGTACTTGGGAGAATCAGATTGTCTAATTTATGTGAATTCTCCACGCTGTTGTTCAATCTTACCAAGAAAGGCCAGATCATTTACACACTTGTTCTATATAGCTGACCGTGTACCCTATGTGGATATTTGGTATACAGGTCGAGTATCCCTTATCTGAAATGGTTGAGACCAGAAACGTTTCAGATTTCAAATTTTCCAGTTGAGCATTCCAAATCTGAAAATCCAAGACCTGAAATACCCCACTGAGCATTTTCCTTGAGCACTGTACCAGCGCTGAAAAAGTTCTGGATTTTGAAATACTTCGTATTTTGGAGTTCTTGAGTTTTGAATTTGGGATGCTCGACCTGTATATCATTGTCATGAAAGTAAATGTCTACTCATATATATATGGTTTCTACATTTATTTGTTTGTTTTTGGTGGGGTGAAATAGTTGATTCAGACAGGAAAAGCAGCAACTTTCACATGCCCTTAGTTCCCTGAAGTGCCAGCAGCTATTCATTGGTGATAGCACATGTGGCTGTATTTGAAAAAACTCTCTGCTTATTTGCCAGGCTCTAGGATAAAACTGACTGTGCTGGAGATGGAAACCCTGTGACTGGAACTGAGTATGTTCAAATGTGAAACTTAAGCCAAAGAGCAAAATATGCACTCGATCTGGTATAGGTATGAATGTGTTTGGTGTCTAGCAAAGGTGTAGATGTAGAAATTAATCATCTTCCTTTCAGACAGGGAAGGCTCCATGGAAGAAGAGGGCTTCTGTGTTTCTCTTAATTTTGTAGCTATGCCAAACTCACTTGGCTGAGCAGACTTCCAGCACTTGTGGTCTATTCAGAACCATTTATTTTTATTTTTGGCCCTGTCTGCCAAGCTCAGGCAGAAAGCCGAAGATATACAGTGTACAGATTTTCTGTAGATGTAAAAATCCCACTGGACCTGACAAGAATTCTTTCTCAGCCTGTCTGGCAGAACTTTTCTAGCTGAGGTTGAAGGTATGATTTTCCCAGTGTAGCAAATCTGTCTTCCCATTTTTGTCTTAATTCTTATTCACAGAGGCAGGCTTTAAAAAAATTCACATATGTGAGGAATAATAATAATTTGTCTATACTGGCTTAATGTACAGGTTTAGACAGTGTGGGCCTGCCTTTCCCACTCTGGAAGGCATTGGGAGAGTCCCTTAGGCGATGTAATAGTACGCACGTGTGACATGCCCTAATCCTGGCATGTGGCAGGGGTCTGGAAAGGCTTTGCCTTAAACTAGGCATGTCTAATAGGGTTTAACGCAACCTGTGAATTTGCCCCTGCACAAGGTCAGCTTGTAGGTCAGTGGAATGCTGCACAAATTGCATTCTCCTCCAGACTGTAATTATACCTAGGAGAAAGCCATGTGCTGCCAAGTTCAGCTGACTCTAGATAGGGCGGAGATAAAGTGAGGGCTTGCTAACGTCCCTCAAAAACTGATTTTTAACAATCTGATATAAAACATCTCTTGTTTAAAAAAAAATGGTGATCTTGAGGTTTCTGAAGGAGCTTAGTGTAGGGGATGGTGACCAGCTGTTTCCTACCTTCCCTGAGAGCAGAAAAAGATGGTTCAAAATGGGAGCATGAGGAATTTGAGCCAAACATCAGGTAAAATAGTTCACTGCCAAAAGTCTCTTAATACTAGAAAATGACTTGGAGGATTATTACACATCAGGTAATATGCATATGAGGACAAAGAAGAATGAAAAGTGAGTATGATAAGGGATCATAGACTAGGAGTGGAATGAACAGTTTAATTTGTATTTACAATTAGCTGAAGTAGTGCTCTGTTGTATTGTTTGAGAGAAAATGGCTATAAATGTGTGCATTATCTAAATGTAACCTTTATAATGAAGTGTGCACATTCTTGTAAAGTAAGGTCTATACTTACATACGTGGACTTCTGGGCCAACCCAAAGGCAGAGGGATAAATTAGATGAAATTTGTAGGTTTCTTCAGTGCTAAGTGTTAAATGACTCCAAAATCCAATTCAACCAGAGTAACATTGGATAAGCAAAATCTTACAAATACTTACACTCTCCAGTAAATGTTTTCTGAACTATCTTTCCTGAACAGCCTGTAGTAGCCACTTTTCCCCCCAAGAACCTACATGGAATAAAATCAAGTTGGGAGCTTAAAGCATAAATTCTATCTACTGGCTTCACGTAAACATGGAAAATAATTATTTTGACATTCATATTATTGGTTCCTGCAGCTTGATTTTTTTCGCAGGCTGCTTTTTATGTTACGTGGGGATAAGGCACTAACCTGTGGGCCGGGGCTTTTGGGGAACCTTTCCTTTGTTATTTACCTAAGGCAAGCTAACTAACTCCTTTTAATATGATGAAGCTGGATGCTAATACAGTCAGGAATCCCACTAACGTCTAACAATCAAATGTGATAAACTGACCTCATGGTTTTGTGAAAGCCTCTGCTGCTATTGGGTCTTAATGCCCGGAAGAACCTTTACCCTAGTGGCCATGAAGAATGGTAAGAGTCCTTTCTGTTTGGACACCCAGACCATGAGTTACAGTGTCTTTTGGGGTTCATGTTCTGCAGAGCCTATCATCTCTCAAGACTCTGATGGAGAGGTTTTATAAAAGTGAGATCTGGATTTTTGTTTCGGAAAAAAAGGCACTGGATGTAACATTCTTTTGGGAATGTGTTTGAGTTACGTGGATAAAGATTGTGCTAGAAACAGCCACCTTTTTCAAACTCCCTTTTTAAATAAGAGTCTTGGCATTTTCAAGGATCGTATACCTGAGAATAATTACAAACTCTTTTAAGTTACTGATCTTATGAGTAGCTCCTGTATCCGTTATTTATATATGTTTGCCCTCTTTAAACTAGTCTTTGAACTCCATTGAACAGACACACACACACACACACACACACACACACACACACACACAATTTTTATTTTGTTTGCAGTAGACATGGGAATTTGCGTATTGTGAGGACCGTTGAATTGGACTGTCTGCCTTTCAGCGTTGATACAATGACGAGCAAGGGCAGGCCTAGAAATAGAAGGCTGAAGGCTGGTCTCCTGACTTTTCTCTGAATAACTGGTTTACTACATCATGATGTTGATCCCATTCCACAGCTGGCCAAGAGGTCATTCATGAAAGCTCAGCAGGCAAAGGTTGAAAACTAGAGGGAAGGACTGTTGTAGTTTATGGCTATAGTTCTCAGTTTTTGTATTTCTACTTAGATTGTGATATTGTTGGGAACCTCTTCCTTAGGCCAAACAACTGAAAAATTGTCAAAATAGCACAGAATGCTAATAGCAAACAGAAGCTTAAGGAGTGGGTTGGTGCTTAATAATTAGGTTTTTGAGTTAATTATCAGTTTCTTATAACTTTTGTATTTGAAATCTGTGCTTATGTAAATATATATATTAAATTTCCTACCATAAAAAGAGCAGAATATTAAGTATCTGATAATTTCAGGCAATTTATGATTCTAAAAATTTCCCAGATTATCACTATGATCACCAGTCCACAGCGTTCAGTAAATAAATATATAGATATGGAAGGTGTGATTCGTTGAATTTGATTTCTTTCAAGCACAGTATAAGAGATGTCAATGGATTTGGGAGACTAAATACCCAATATTAGTTTATCTTCATATAGTTTTTCTCTTCCAAGGGGAATTTTTGAAATTCACTTTTTCTGTCTAAAAGTTAGCTTACTAATAATGAATATAATCCAACAAAAGAAAAGCTAGGGAAATTTTCAGTTAATAGATGGTTCAACATAAATTACGTTCTGGTTATTTGAAACTTAACAATGATTCTAAAAAAGCATTCAGAAAGCGAAGTAGTAATATTGGTTGATAACAAATTAAAAAAAAAATCTTTGTCATGTTCCACATCTTTGTTATCACTTTTTCTTGTTCTCTTCATCAGTTTTCTTCACTCTTGTCTTTTTTTCCCCTTAATATTTTCTTCCTCACTACTCTGCAATAAATTCTTCGGTAATGGGTATATATCTGGGTAAGGAGGTTGTAAGATTTGATAATGAACATAAAAAATGAATTACCGTAAAAATTCGGTTAGCTGTGCTTCTTGCTTTAATGCCCCAGCAGTGAGATAGCTATACATACTTTACAGGACTCTTGAGCCTGAAGTATTGTTATCACTCTGGAAAGTCCACAGGGGGCCACTAAAGGAATAAAGGTTTACAGTATTGCAATACTCACTGCCCCCAGTGCACAACTGTCCATTTGGATTGGCTAATGTGCAGAGGAACACAATACCAGTGCTTAGTGGAGATGTAGTAACAGGTCGTTCTATTCCCTCTTCCCTTTGAAAATGACTTTTATGTACAGCAGGCTCTTTGTAAATCTTTTTTCGTCTTATTTAGCTAAGCCCTTATTTAAGTGTATTTGTATTGTACCAGCCTAGTAGATCTAGTAATTGGAAAATATAGCAAAAACAATATAAAGACAATTCATAAGATGTGACTAATAAAAATCATTAAAAATGCAAAATAAAATCATGAAAACACATTTCACCTGTTTTTCAGCCAACAGTTTTAAAATTGGTAATACCTAAAGTGGGTGTGGGAACAGAAAAACAGTTGCTCTCAAATACTTGGCAGGGTAAGTCTAATAAGAAACAATTCTGAAATATTTATCAAATTTTCAAATGGGCATATTATTTGAATGATTTCTATGAGTCCTATGAAAATACAAACTTGCATGACTAAGGATCTCTCTGCCTGCTTGTTCGTTGTAGCATTCTTAACAATTGACAAAATTTGGAACATTTCTTCAGACAGAGTCTTTGCTCTGTCACCCAGGCTGGCGAGCAGTGGCTTGATCTTGGCTCACTGCAACTTCCACCTCCTGGGTTCAAGCAATTCTCATGCCTCAGCCTCCCGAGGAGCTGGGATTACGGGAGTGTGCCACCACACCCACCTAATTTTTGTATTTTTAGTAGAGATGGGGTTTCATCATGTTGACCAGGCTGGTCCCGAACTCCTGGCCTCAAGTGATCCACCCACCTCGACCTCTCAAGTTGCTGGGATTACAGGTGTGAGCCACAGCTTGCCTGGCCAAAATTTGGATGATTTCTAATTGTCCTTTAGTAGGGGAATACTTAAATGATGTGATGTTTTTAGAAATGGCTCTGCCTGCACTGACAAGGAAGTTGTCAGTAATGTGTTTCTACGTGAAAAAAACACGCTACACAGTGAAAAAAAAAAGTGCAACAAAATGTATACTTTTTCTCTCCTATAGTCTTCAAGTTTCTTTTTTCCTCCTGTCTACTTCCAATACATTCTCCTCACACCCTGCTAGCCCAATTTCTAACCAATCTCAGAAAGATCTAAGTGTATATCAAAGTCTTGGGTTGTACTGAACCATTTCTATGTGTGTTCACAAGTCTAATGTGTTATTGTCCTCCATTTGTTTCCTTTCAGTTATTTTGCATATCTTAAGGAAGATCTTTTAAAATATATGTTTCTTCTACTCTTTTTCTCGTTACTCTTCCTTCATTTCTAATTCTTTTCCTTGTAGTTTGTTTGGTACTGTCCTCCAATTATGAAGGAGAGGCCAGCCCCCTTTCAGCGAAGCCTGACTCAGTCTCAGATCAGTCTGCTCTTACTCTCACTACCAACATGTCCATATGAGCCACTTTGTGACTGGGAGCATATTTGGTGGAACCCAGCCACTTTTGTCTTCTCTCTCTATCCATGGATGACATAGCATTTGCCTCTCAGAAACTAAAAGTGGGAAAGGGGGAGGTAATGTCATCAAGATGGTGGAATAGAAAATACCGGATCCTTGTTGCCCCATGGAGATGCCAATTTAATAATACACGGGCCAGTTCCCTTTGTGAGAAATTCAGAAATCAGTTAAGAGGCTCCTAAACCCCAGGTGAGCATGAAACCAGTTGTATTGAAGCTAATAGGAAAATTCATGGCACTCACTCATCTGACTCCCTTTCTGGCACAATACATTGATTTAGAGAAAACTACCTCCTGGCTTCTCCTTTGGGAGGGAGAGAGAAGACTGGATCTTATGTCTAATGTTCAGACTTTTGGGGAGGTACTTTGAAGACTGGTTTCTGTTGTGTGTGAATCTAAGAGCTAACAGGGAAAGATGCCAGGTTGGGAACCACTGAGAAGAAAGATGATGATATGAATTAGTATGCATTCAGTGCAATTGCCCCTCACCCTTGCTCAGGGCAGAGTAAGTGAGAGTAAACCTCCAAATCCTGGCTTCTCCTTGGAGAAGGAAAAAGTCGGAGCATCCGTCCAATGCTCTGGCTTTTCAGAGGGCCGCCCAAGAGACTGATTTCTGTCTTGCCCGACTTGGAGTGCTGATGGGACACAGCATACTCTAGATGCCTGGAGACTGCTGAGAACAAAAAGCTAGGTGGCCTGCAGTACAGTAGACAGAGGCCAATACAGCTCAGCAGCTTCTCCCACATGGACTGCAGGGGAAAGAAGAGTGGAGCTTGTGTCTAGTGTTTCACCTTTTCACAGTGTTGTCCAAGGAACTGTTTTTTCTTCTTCCTCTGCTTCCTCCTCCTCTTGCTCTTCTTCATCTTCACCCATCTTCTTTTCTTCTTCTTCTCCTTCCTTCCTTTCCTTCTTTCTTCTCCTTCCTTCCTTCTTTCTCCTCCTCCTTCTCCTCTTCCTCCCACTCCCCCTCCTCTTTTCTCCTTTCTCCTTTTCCTTCTTTGACTCTGTGTGTTCATGGGACTTGACATACTCTAGATGTTTGGGGGCAGATGAGAACAAAAAGGAGCTGGACAGCTTATACCTCCAGAGAAACTGCAGTACCATAGACAGACACTAGAGAGAGCAGGGATTATGAGCTCCTGAAAAACCAAAATCCCTCTAATTGGGAATTCACATACGTAAGTCCAGAGAATATTTATCCACAGAAAAAGGCTTGAAAATCCCCCAGAGACACTAGCTGGGCTGATTGGCAAAGGTCTTTCACTGTATGAAATCAGTCTGTAAAGAATGAGAATGGTGACTTCTTTTTCACATCCCAACACAAAGTAACAAAGCACACAAAGAAACAGGGGAGCATGGACCAACCAGTGGAACAAAAGAAATCAAACCAATCCTAAAGACACAGATGTATATGAATTACTTGACAAATAATTCAAAATAAATGTCATAAAGATGTTCAGTGAGCTCAGGAAAAAGATACATGAACAAAATGACAGTATCAACAAAGAAATAGAAAATATTATGAAGAACCAAACAAATATTGGGGCTAAAGAATACAATAACCAAATTTAAAAGCTCACTAGTGGGGTTCAGTAGCAGACTTAATGAAGCAGAAGGAGGAATCAGATAAAGAGAGGTCGTTTGAAATGATCCATTTAGAGGAGCAAAAAGAAAAAAACGAAGAGGAGGCTAGGTGCCGGTGGCTCACGCCTGTAATCCCAGCACTTTGGGAGGCTGAGGTGGGCAGATCACGAGGTCAGGAGTTCAAGACCAGCATGCCCAACGTGGTGAAACCTCATCTCTACTAAAAGAACAAAAATTAGCTGTGTGGGGTGGCGCACGCCTGTAATCCCAGCTATTCAGCAGGCTGAGGCAGGCGAATCGCTTGAATCTGGGAGGCAGAGGTTACAGTGAGCCAAGATCACGCCATTGCACTCCAGCCTGGGTGACAGAGCAAGACTCCGTCTCAAAAAAAAAAAAGAGTAAAGAAAGTCTAAGGGATGTATGGAACACCGTCAAGCAGATCAATAGACACATTGTGACAGTTACAGAAGGAGAAGGTAGGAAGGGAGGAAAGTATATTGGAAGAAATAATGGTCAGATATCTGGCGGAAGAAATAAACATTCAGATTGAAGAATCCCGATGGATCCCGATTACAAGAACTCAAAAGACCACACTGAGCACATTATAATCAAACTGTCAAAAGTTAAAGACAAAAAAGAGAATTTTGAAAGCAGGAGGTGAAAAGCAACTCATATAAGGGCACCCCAACAAGACTATCAGAAGATTTCTCAGCATGAACTTGCAGACCAGAAGGATATAGGGTAATATATTCAAAGCAATGAAAGAAAATTACCAAGTAAGAAAACTATATCTAGAAAAACTGTCTATCGGCTGGGTGCAGTGGCTCACGCCTGTAATCCCAGCACTTTGGAAGGGTAAGGCAGGTGACTCACAAGGTCAGGAGTTTGAGACCAGCCTTCCCAACATGGTGAAACCCCATCTCTACTAAAAATACAAAAAATTAGCCAGGCATGGTGGTGCGTGCCTGTAATCTCAGGTACTCAGGAGGCTGAGGGAGGAGAATCGCTTGAACTCAGGAGGCAGAGGTTGCAGTGAGTGGAGATCATGCCATTGCACTCTGTCTGGGCGACAGAGCAAGACTGTGTCTCAAAAAAAAAAAAAGAAAAAGAAAAATTGTCTTTTGGCCAGATACAGTGGCTCATGCCTGTAATTCTAGCCCTTTGAGAGGCCGAGGCGGGTGGATCACCTGAGGTCAGGAGTTTGAGACCAGCCTGGCCCACATGGTGAAACCCCACCTATATTAAAAATACAAAAATTAGCCCAGCATGGCAGGGGACGCCTATAATCTCAGCTACTTGGGAGGCTGAGGCAGGAGAATCGCTTGAACCTGGGAGGTGGAGGTTGCAGTGAGCCAAGATTGCGCCATTGCACTCCAGCCTGGGTGACAGAGTGAGACTCAGTCCTCCCCACCCAAAAAAAAAAAAAAAAAAGGAAAAAAATTGTCTTTCAGAAACAAAAGAGAAATAGATGTTCGTAGATAAATAAAAGTGTAGGGTGTTCATGACCACTAGACTTACAAGAAATGATACAGGAAAGCCTTTAAAGTTGAAATGAAAAGGGCATGACATAGCAACACAAAAGCATATGAAAGCGCAAAGCTTGTAGATAAAGGTATATATACAGATAAATACAGAATACTATAATGATGCGGATAAATCACTTTTAACTCTGGTATAGAATTTATGTCTGCCAGATATTAAAAACAAATATAATTATAAAAATACGTTAATGGATACACAATAGAAAAAATATAATTTGTTATATCAATTACATGAAGTGTGGGAGTGGAGAAGTAAGAGTAGAATTTGTATATGTGATTGAAATTAGCTTAAAATAGATTATTATACCTATAAAATGTTTTATGTAAGTCTCATAGTAACAACAAAGAAAATGCCTATAGGAGATACAACAACAAAAAGAAAAGAATCAAAGCAAGTCACTGTAAGAAACAAAACACAAAAGTCATCAATATAGAAAAAGACAAAACTACAAAAGCTACAAAACAATGAACAAATTAGCAATAATAAGTTCTTGCCTCTCAGTAATTACTTTAAATGCAAATAGAGAAAATTTCTCAGTCAAAAGACATAAAATTGCTAAATGGATAAAAAAAGATGGAACTATATGCTGTCTATAATAGTCATTTTAGACTCAAGGACACAGGCTGAAAGTGAAAAGGGATGGAAAAAGATATTCCAAGAGTTAATTTAAAAAAACCAACAACTGACATCCTTAGCTAAACTAAAAACAATCCAAAAGACAGCAGGGTGGCCATAGTTAGAATTTAAGTCAAAAACTCTAACAAAAGAAAAAGAAGGACACTATTTAATGATAAAAGGGTCAATTCACCAGGAAGATATAACAGTTATATGTGCACCCAACGTACAAGCCAAATATATGAAGCAAATTTTTACAGAACTAAAGGGAGAAATACACAGCAACACAGCAATGGGAGATTTCAATAACCCACTTTTGATAAATGATGTAACAAGATAGATAAACAATAAGGAAACAGAGGACTTGAGCAACACTATATACCAAATGGACATAATGGAAATAGACCATTCCACCCAACAGGAATTGGGTTTTGAAACACATTCTTCTCAAGTGCACATTCTCCAGGATAAGTCACACGTTATGTCAGAAAACAAGCCTTAACAAATTTTTAAAAATTGGAATTATACCATGTATCTTTTCTGACCACAATGGCATGAAACTAGAAATAATAGCAGGAAGAAAACTGGAAACATTATACATACAGGGAAATTAAACAGCACACTTTTGAACAACCAGTGGGTCAAAGAAGAAACCAAAAGGGAAATTGGAAAATATCTTGTGACAAACAGAAACAAAAATACAACATACCAAAACATATGGGATGCAATAAAAGCAGTACTAAGAGTAAGGTTTTAGGGTGAACACCTATGTTTAAAAAGATTTCAAATAAACAACCTGACTCTACACTTCATGGAACTAGAAAAAGAAGGATAAACTAAGCCCAAAGTTAGTAAAAGAAATGAAATAAGGATTTCAGCAGAAAAAAAGCAAAATAGAGTATAGAAAAACAATAGGAAAATAGTCAACACAACCGAGTTGGTTTTTTGAAAAGATAAACAAAATGGACAAATCATTAGCTAAATTAAGGAGAAAAAGAAAACACAAGTATATACAAAATGAGAGAGAAGACATTACAACCGATGCCACAGAACTGGAAGGATTATAAGAACCTACTATGAACAATTACATGCCAAAAAATTGGATAACCTAGGAGAAATAGATCAATTCCTAGAAATGTACAACCTAGCAGGACTGAATCATGATGAAGTGGAAAATCTGAACAGACCTGTAACAAGTAAGGAGATTGAATTAGAAATCAAAAACCTCCAGAGAAAAGCCCAGAACCAGATGGCTTCAGTGGAGAATTCTACCAAACATTTAAAGAATAATTAACAGGGAAGCAGTGCTTCTCAAACTCTTCCAAAAAATTGAAGAGGTCACCCTTCCAAATTCATTTTATGAGAACAGCATTACTCTGATACCAAAGCCAAAGACATTACAAGAAAAGAAAACTA
This sequence comes from Homo sapiens, assembly GCF_000001405.40. Classification (NCBI taxonomy): domain Eukaryota; kingdom Metazoa; phylum Chordata; class Mammalia; order Primates; family Hominidae; genus Homo; species Homo sapiens. Next base: position 4,984,489 of record NW_011332701.1, on the reverse strand, counting down.
CAGGTCATTAGCTCTTACAAATATAGATGTTAAAATTCTCAACAAAGTACTAGTAAACTTAATTGTCTCACTCTGTTTCCTAGGCTGGAGTGCAGTGGCACAATATCAGCTCACTGCAACCTTGGCCTCCCGGGTTCAAGTGATTTTCCTGCCTCAGCCTCCCAAGTAGCTGGGACTACCAGGCACGTGCCTCCATGCACAGCTAATTTTTTGTATTTTTAGTAGAGACGGGGTTTCACCATGTTGGCCAGGCTGGTCTCTAACTCCTGACCTCAAGTGATCCGCCTACCTCGGCCTCCCAAAGTGCTGGGATTACAGGCATGAGCCACTGCACCTGGCCCAGTAAACATAATTTAATAGCACATTAAAAGGATCATATACCATCACCAAGTGTCAATTATCTCTCAAATGCAAGGAAGGTTCAACATATGAATATTTATCAATATGATATATTACATTAAAAGAACAAATGATAAAAATATTTTGATAGATGCAGAAAAAGCATTTGAAAAAACTCAACACTGTTTTCTGATAAAAACTCATCAAACTGGGAATAGAAGGAAATTACCTAAAGAAGGAAATATTCTTTAGAAGGAATAGAAAGAAATAAAGACCATATGCTAAAAGTTCAAAGCTAATATTATAATCAAGGTTGAAAAACCAAAAGCATTTCCACTAAGATCAGCAACAAGACAAGGATGCTCATTCATGCTACTTTATTCAACATAGTGCTGAAAGTCATAGAGACATTAATCAAGAGAGAGAAATAAAAGGCATCAAAGTTGGAAATGAAATAGTAAGATTATCTGTGTTCACAGATATGATCTTATATGTAGAAAACCCTAAGGATTCCCCCAAAAAAGCAAACTGTGAAGAACTATGAAAAACATTCAGCAAACTTACAGGATTCCAAATCAACAAACAAAAATTCGTTGTGTTCTTATAACACAAAAATATTAACTACCTGGAAGGGAAATTAAGAAAACAATTTCATTTAAAGTAACATCCAAAAAAATGAAATACTTAGGAATAAACTGAAGAGGGTAAAAGACTAGTACAGACTAGTTTTGAAAACTATAAAACATTGCTTAAAAAAATTTAGGAAGACACAAATAACTGTAAAGACATCTCATGTTTATGGATTGAAAGAATTAATATTATTGAATGTCTGTATTCCCCCAAAGCAACATACAGATTCAGTGCAGTTCCTCTTAAAATCCCAGTGGCTGCTTTGCAGAAATAGGAAAAAACAATCCTAAAATTTGTATGGAACCACAGAAGACCCTGAGTAGCCAAAACCACCATGAGAAAGAACAAATCTAGGGAACTCACACTTTCTGAATTCAAAACAAATTGCCAAGCTGCAGTAATCAAAACAGTATGGTACTGGCATAAAGACAGACATTATAGGCCAATAGAACAGAATAGAGAACCCAGAAATAAACCCAAGCATATACAGGCAAATGTTCTTTGACAAGGGTGCCAAGACTGTACAATGTGGAAAGGATAGTCTCTCCAACAGATAGTGCTAGGAGAACTGGCTATCCACACACAAAAGAATGAAATTGGACCCTTATCTTGGAACATATACAAAAATCAACTCAAAATAGATTAGAAACTTAAATGTGAGACTTGAAACTATAAAACTTTTTTAAAAAATAGGGAAAAGTCCTCTAAAATTGATTTTGGCAGTTGTTTCCTGGATATAGCATGAAAAGCATAGACCGCCCCCCCCCAAAAAAAGCAAAAATAACAGATGCACAAAGGGGACTATGTTAAATGAAAAAGCTTCTGCTCAGCAAAGGAAACAATCAACGGAGTAAAAAGACAACTTACAGAATGGGAAAAAATATTTGCAAACCATATGTCTGATAAAAATGGGCTAAAGACTTATCCAAACATTTCTCCAAAAAAGGTATACAAATGGCCAATATGTATAAGGAAAAGATGCTCAACATCACTAATCACCAGGGAAATGCAATTCAAAATCACAATGAGATAACCCCTCACACGTGTCAGAATGGCCACTGTCAAAAAAAAAAAAACTGAAAAATACCAAGTTTTTTTGAGGATGTAGACAAAGTGGGACCTTTGTACACTGTTGGTGGAAATGTAAAATGGTGTAGTCACTATGGAAAACAGTATGAAGTTCTTTAAAAATTTAAAAATAGACCAGGGACGGTGGCTCACGCCTGTAATCCCAGCATTTGGGGAGGCCAAGGCGAGCAGATCATGAGGTCAGGAGATAGAGACCATTCTGGCTAACACGGTGAAACCCCGTCTACTAAAAATGCAAAAAATTAGCCGGGCGTGGTGGCAGGCACCTGTAATCCCAGCTACTTGGGAGGCTGAGGCAGGAGAATGGTGTGAACCCGGGAGGCAGAGCTTGCAGTGAGGCGAGATCAAGCCTCTGCACTCCAGCCTAGATGACAGAACGAGACTCCAGCTCAAAAAAAAAAAAAAAAAAAAAAAAAATTTAAAAATAGAACTACCATATGATCCATTAATCTTTCTTCTGGATATTTATCCAAAAGAATTGAAGTCACTGTATTGAAAAGATATTCCCATGTTGCAGCATTCACAATAGCAAAGAGATGGAGACAACCTAAATGTCCATTGATGGGCAAATGGGTAAAGAAAACGTGGTGTGTACATACAGTGGAATATTACTTGACCACAAAAAAAAAAAAAGGAAATCTTGTCATTTGCTACAACATGGATTGGCCTGAGGACATTATGCTAAGTGAAAATAATCTAGTCACAAAAAGATAAATGCTGCATGATTCCACTTATATGAGGTATCCGTGGTGGTCAAACTCAAAGGAATGGAAAGTAGAATGGTGGTTCCCAGGGGCTGGAACAACGGCGAATTGGAAATCTGCTATTCTGTGGGTATAAAATTTCTGTTACGCAAGGTGAAAAAGTTCTAGAAATCTGCTGTATAACATTGTGCTTGTGGTTAATAATGTACTATACATTTAAATTTTTGTTAATAGGATACATTTCATGTTGTGCACTTTTCATAAAAATAAAGAGAAATTAGTGTTAAGCCTTCAAAGCCATGGGAGAAAAAAAAGACGAAGAGACTAAGAGGATTTAGGACATATCATTCTGTGCGCATTGTGTCCCTACCATTGTAGTTGGTTTTGAGAAACCTGGTGGTATTTCACAAGAGTGGCTACATGGAAACATAGAAGGATCTTTTTGAAAATTTACTTAAAAGTAGACAGAGAATTTGGTTCAGGTAGGGAAGAGAATACAAAATGCTCCAACTTCACCACTGCTTAGCTGCCCCCAGCCCCTTTGTAGGAAATCAGCATCAGATTTCCAAACAAAAACGTTTTAAGGCATTAGTCCCAGTAAAGGTAACACTCAGCAAATACCTGGTTGTGCCAAGTCATTCGACAAAATTCCAAGCATGGCTTATGGTGATAACATCCTTTCCACAGTTAAGTCTGGTTGTATAATGGGGTGAGGGGTAGATTTGCCTCATTTTACTCAGGGACAGACAGAATCAATATCTTTCTTGCTCTTTTACTCTCTCGTGATTTCTCTCCTGCTTTCTTTTAATTAGCTAACAGAGAAATGTGCATTTGTACATTACCTTTCTTGTAGGCAGAGTATTACTGGTAGTTTTCAGAGCCCTAACTGGATAGCTTGGTGCGTGTTCATTTGAAGAAACTTTTGCAACCCAGCTGTGATCTTGTCATAAATTTGATCCTGTTCCTGTGTCCTTGTCATTGATGTGTATGCCATGGTTGTGGTTGTATCAGTCACCATCCTGGACACTTAAGAATAAATCTAGTCAATTCCCAAAACGTTTCTCTTTTTGAATTTGCACTCCAGTTAGTTTAGGTGATGCTTTTATTTGCCTTTTTGACTCTACAGCAAACTTCTTACGACTTGATCTGTCTCAGTCACCTCCGCATCCCCAGAATACAAAGCAATGCCAGGCACATGTAACGTGTACAGTAAATATTTTTTGAATGGGTGCATGGCTAAATTGACTTTTCTTAATTTTTTTATTAGATGAAGAAATCATTTGACTTTAAATTTGGGTTCTCTAAGAAAAAGCCAGAAATTGCATTTTTAAGGAAGATATTGTATTATGCTTAATTGCCTTTTTTTTTTGCTTTTCCTTTCATATAAAAAATTACTGAGTACCTTCTCTATTTCTGTTTAAAACTCCTAAAATTCTGTATGCCTCAAGAATCTTTCTAAGGCGAATATTGACATGCTTAAACATATTGACTGAAAAATGAGATTTTTTTCCTTTACATCTTGATTAATACTTAGTATTTACTATCTTTTAGGTCTAATCGTTATATGAAAGTAGCCATTCTGAACAGGTAAAGGAAAAAAATATCTGGCAATAATTGATTCAAGATCGATTAATCAACAGGTAGTTAGACAATTAGGCAGTTAGATCATCTTTATTGGAACAAACTATTGTTGTCCCTTACTTTTCAACCAGCAAGCAACTCAGCTATTACAGTAATAATACAAATGTAGATGTTTGTTACTGTTTAGTCTTGTCTTCACAGTAGTTTGGCAATTCTGTAAGTACCTAGGTGGGAAGGAAAGCACAGCTGTTCAGCCTAGTTTGTATTTTAACCAGCAAAGCACATTAAAAACATTTGTAAGATTTGTGTTTTGTGGGTGCTTCTCTTTTATTTTTGTAGCCCTGCCACATGAGAGGAAAGAGAGTTTTTTTCCCTTAGTGGCAGCTTCGTGATATGTTACCAGGGAGCTGATTTGGTTTACTAGTTGTAGAGAAACACAAAACTATGTAGACTTCTCCATGGAATATTCATAAAGGTTGAAATAACTGGCAATGAGGTATGTGGAGTTTCTATGAAGATTGTAAAAATACATAGTATTATAAAAAATAATTTTAAGGCCAAGTGTGGTGGCTCACACCTATAATCCCAATAATTTGGGAGACCAAGGTGGGAGGATGGCTTGGGCCCAGGAGTGTAAGAGCAGCATTGGCAATATAGTGAGACCTCACCTCTACAAAACATCAAAAAAATAAAAATTAGCCAAGCATGGTGGCCTGCACCTATAGTGCTTGCTACTCGTGAGGGTGCAAGGATCCCTTGAGCCCAGGAGTTCAAAATTACAGTGAGCTGTGATTGCGTCACTCTACTCCAGCCTGTGTGACGGCGCTGGATACTATCTCAAAAATTAATTGATTAATTTAAAACTAGAGCTTTGTGTGCAAGGTATTATATTGTTTATATTAATAATAACAAATAGGAAGTAACCTCTCTGAAACAGAAAATCTTTAAATAAATATATGTCAAGAACTATATTAAGTGCTTTTCATATAGTCATTTAATTTCTAAAATAAATGTATAGGCCAGGTGCAATGACTAATGCCTGTAACCCCAGCACTTTGGAAGGCTGAAATGGAAGAATCACTTGAATTTAGGGTTTGGGATCAGATCAGCCTGGGCAATGAAGTTTTTATGGAGACCTTGTCTCTATAAAAAAATTTAAAAATTAGCTGGGTGTGGTGGCGCCTGCCTGTGATCCCAGCTACTCTGAAGGCTGAGGCAGGAGAATCACTTAAACCCAGGAGGTCAAGGCTGAGACAAACTCTGATCACACCACTGCACTCCAGCCTAGGTGACAGAGCTAGACCTTCTCTCAAAATAAAATATAGACTAAATATAGTCAGCCCTTCATGATGAGGAAATCAATTCATAGAGGTTATCACTTTACCAAGGCCATATCACTGGTGGCTGACTCAGCTGTTCATGCTTTTTCCCCTAAATCACTCAGAAGATGACATTACTAAAAAGATTGGAGGCTATGAAGTGACTTCACCAGTAGCAACATGAAAATATTCCAGTGATAAGTGAAAAAGATGGATACCACATTCTGTACATCTTGATGCTGGTATAACTTTGTACTTGAGTAAAATGATCACAGTAACATATAAAGATTTAGCGTTTGTATTAGGCTGATGGAATTTTGTGTGTTTGTTTTGTAAAACGTCTGTCATTGTGTAAGATGTCTATAATTGTGCATAAGTTACTTCCCAATTAAGTATTATTTAAAGAGTGCATGCAGCATCAATTTAGTTCATCAATCAGTGTATCTAAAAAAATTTAATGTTTTTGGTGTGCGTCCTGAAAGACTGCATGGTCATTTGAGCTTGTATTCTTTTTTTTTTTTTTCTAATTTTAGATCATCAAATTGTTGGATGGAAAACGATCTCAAACTGTGGGAATCTTGATATCTAGTTTACATTTAGAAATGAAGGATATCCAACAGGGTAAGTCTTTTCTATCACTTTTGTTTTACTTTTTCCATTTTTTAAAAAACATTTCATTCTGAAGAATGTCAAACACATACAAAGTTAGAATGCCCTAATGAATCCTATATACCCAATACTCAGCTACAGAACCATCAACTCACTCTTGTTTTATCTGAAAATGCCCCCCTCTCACCAAGTAGGTTATGAAGCAAATTTCAGATGCTTTATAAGTCATCTGTTAAAAATGTTAGTACTATTGCTAAAAAATAAGGATACTTTATTTATTTATTTGTTTTACAGGTGGGGTTTTGCCATGTTGCCCAGGCTGGTCTCAAACTCCTGGGCTCATGCAATCTGCCCACCTTGGCCTCCCAAAGTACTGAGATTACAGGCATGAGCCACTGCGCCCGGCCCAGGGGTACTTTTCCAAACAATACTCCACCCAGTGCCATTATCCTTCCTTCAAAGACATTAATCGTAGTTACTCAGTATCATCACATAAGTGGTTCTAATGTCCCTGTTGTTTGTATACTCATTAATTCATCCATTCATTTATAGTTAGTTTAAATGAGGATCCAGACAAATTCCATGCATTGCCTTTGACGTGTCTCTCAAGTTTATTTTAATCTAGAAGTTTCTACCCTCCATTTTTTCCCCTTTTGTAATTTACTTGTTGAAGAAACCAGGTCACTTGTCTTGTAGACTTCCCCACATTTTAGGTTTTGCTGATGATGCTGCTATGTTTTTATTTATCATGTTCCCCTGTCCCCTGTTTTCTATAAACTGTCTGATCTAGAGACTTAATCTGAGTGGAAGAATACATCATAGATGCTATTATGTTTTCTATCAAGAAGTGCATAATATTTAGTTATCTGTGATGTTAGTGAGCACTTATTATCTTTGCCTGGATTTATTATTTCAATAGAAGTTTTCAAAATAATGATGTACTAATTCCATCATTTCTTCTTTATTAGCTGGAATACTTCTAGGGAGGAATACTTTCCTTCATTTGGTTACGTCATTGTTTCTTCATCCTTTCGTTTTCAAAATGTTGTTATTTCTATTTGGTTATCTTTGGCTCAATTTTAGATAAAAGACATTTAAAGAGAAGAGATTTTGTGTGCACATATTTTTTATTAGTATCTAGAAAAGTAGACCAGAACACATGATACCTTTTCAAAATCTGTGTCTCGCATGAAAACAATACTCCCCTTTCTCACTAATTAATTAAATGTAAATCTTTGGGGGTTTTTTTGGTTTTTGGTTTGGTTTGTTTTGAGACGGAGTTTTGCTCTTATTGCCCAGGCTGGAGTGCAGTGGCGTGATCTCGGCTCACCGCAACCTCTGCCTCCCGGATTCAAGTGATTCTCCTGCCTCAGCCTCCCAAGTACCTGGGATTACAGGCATACGCCATAACATACAGCTAATTTTTTAAGTAGAGATGGGGCTTCTCCATGTTGGTCAGACTGGTCTCGAACTCCTGACCTCAGATCATCCACCCGCCTTGGCCTCCCAAAGTGCTGGGATTACAGGCGTGAGCCACTATGCCCAGCAAATGTAAATCTTTATATTGACATTTCACTTATATTTGCTGAGTGATAATACAATCTCTTAGATGGTTTCAGTAGAATTTAGTATGAGTTTCACAGTGGAAACATCTGACACCACACGGCCCTTTAGGTTTCAGTTCATGTTGTTTAGTTGTTTGACTTTGCTACTCAGCAGAATACCCATAGGTCCTGACCTACAAGACACTTAAGTTACTTTCACATCACCTGCTACTTTTCCATTCAAGGGAGCATTGTTAGGGACTTAAAATTTCGCTACATTACAAAAATTAAAAATTCCACAAAAAACTAAAACATCTTAAATGATAATCACAGAGCATTCAGATAAGCTGTATCGTATTTAAGCTCATTAACAGAGCTGAATACATAAGTGTGAATATGAAACCTCAGATACAGTGAGTTTGGCAGAGGGTGGCTAAATAGGCCTGTCATTGAAATTAGAATGGGATTCTTCAGGGACTTTAGAAGAATCTCAAGTTAGATCTTCCAGAAGAATTGAGTTTCTGAAAAATTCACATCAGAAGAATGTGATGTTAGAGCAGAGGGAAAAAAAGAAAAACAAAAACAAATGTTTTCAGGGGAGTTTATAGTCTTTTGGTAAAGGACTGACTGTTTTGAAGCAGTTATTGAAGTTAGGGATTCTTCAGGTATCACAGAACGGTCTTGACAGTGGTCTCCATGAGCCTGGTGAAACTCAAGTGTGCTTGATTTCATCACCATGATGTGTAACGCTGTGGATGTGAGTTTTCACAATGTCCATATAACCTTAGACTATATTCCGTTTGTTTTAAGCATGTCCTACTGCAGTGCGTCAGATTTCCCCATGGATAGAAGTCATTCCAGCCATGTGATAGTCCAGTTACCAGCTCAGGACTGTAAACTTTCCCATGGCATTCTAGCCTTATTAGATTGAATGTTTACTGTGAGTTTGAAAAGATATTTGTCGATCCAGACCTTTTCCAATGTTATACTCTAGATAAGAACATGCTTCTGTGAAGCGTACGTGAACTTTCATTTCAGCGTCCGAATGTTGACTGTAGCATCACAGACTTCTAGTCCTTGTGGGAACTTTATTGTTCGTTTTCCTTCCTCAAGCACCTCTGTGATCCACCACAAAGTTGGCTCCTAAGTTCTAAAAAATCATCTCCATTCCATTTCTTCGTTTAGTAATGCATTCCAGATGAATATGGCGCTATAACTGGAGGTTAGTTTTCCTTTGGAGTCATTGACTGACACTGGCATCTGAAGGTCATTAGGAGCCCAGGCTGTATCAGTTATATTTCATTCTGAATTTGTGTGTGGAATGTACTTGGCCTTGTGTTGTCACCCTGGTGAAAGGACTCCCTGTGCTGATGTTGGCCTAAAAAGTTTATTTTAATGTGAGAGGGGCTATGGTTAGATATGACTGGAGGAGGCCAGCTGGCCGCCTGGCAAGATCTCACAGCCGACCAGCCCTGGTGAAATGACAATTCAGAGGGTGTTCTTCAGCCCTGTGGTCGTATATTCACCTTTAGCCATGCACAAAGCCCAGAGGGATTAACTCATACTTTCCAAACTCACAAGAAGCTGATGTATAAACCAGCAAGCCAGTATATTCACTTAGAGGAGAGTATTCCTTCTTACAACAACAACAAAAAAAATTGTCACATTTATTGATTGTTTTCTCCACATCATTTGCCTCTACCTGCCATTTTCCCCATTAAAATGTCATTTCCATCACTCTGTTTCGGCATATGCATAATAAGCACACGGTAAATATCTTTTTGAATGCAAAGAAACAGGCATAAACAGGTTTAGAGACAAAATACAGTACGTGATTCTTGGAAAACTCTACCATTAAGTTGATAGGAATAGAAGTACTTACAGGCCTTCTGGATAGCTTCAGGCATTCCAATTTTCCAAATGGCAATGACATTTCAATTTTTCTGAGATTGCAGCTTTGTCACCTTGATAACAGTTTTGTGTGTTTCAGTCTGCAATTGTCTCCCACAAATAGATCATGTGGCTTTTACTGGTTTGGCTGTTGAAGAGCAATCTTCTCTTCTTCTTTTGTAAGAGGAGCACTTCTCTGTGCTCTCCTTAACACAGCCTACACTCTCCATTCAGGAAGAGTTTTGCTTCTCTATACCTTAACATCTGACAGGTAACAAGGAGCAGGGCTAGTGTTCATTCCTTTATGCATTTCTTTGCCAGGAATTTCTATGGTGATTAAGCATTGTTTGCAAATAACTGGGCTAATGTGTCATGCATAAAAGTCATATATTCAAGTGTTCGTTGAATTTAATTCAATTTTTAAAAAATACAGACTTAATCTTAAACTAGATAGGATCAGAATGCCATGTATTCTATTCCAGTGCACTTGGACAAAACTGCCTGCTTGCCTGCCTTCTTTCCTTCCATAAAACTGTATAGAGTGCCAGCTCCGCATCAGGTGTCATGACTACAACAGCACATAAGATCAGGCTCTAACATCCTCAGGCACACCCAGGATGGTGGGAGAGATGTAAAGCAGCCCAACATTATAGTAGAATTGGCTATGAAATAACAGAGCAGTATCTTGACTCTTCCTGTAAAAGTTAAGATTAAGTCTGAGAGGATGAAATAGTGGTCATCACACAGAGATGGAGCTTTTCCAATTGAGGAAAGAGCATGAAACAAAACGTGAAAAACAGACATGTAATCCCTGACTTCGGGAGGCCAAGGCAGGTGGATTGCTTGAGCCCAGGAGTTCGAGACCAACCTGGCCAACATGGCGAAACCCCATCTCTACAAAAAACACAAAAATTAGCCAGGCATGGTGGTGGCACAAACTTGTAATCCCAGCTACTTGGGAGGCTGAGGTGGGAGAATTGCTTGAGCGTAGGAGGTGGAGGTTGCCGAGATCACGCCACTGTACTCCAGCCTGGGCAACAGAGCAAGACTCTTATCTCGAAAAAAAAAAAAAGAAAAAAAAGACACAGCTGGAGTATATAGATTGTATATATGAATGTGGGTTGTTTTAAGGTAGAAGGCAAGAAACACAAGCAGCATCCAGACCAGGAAGATCATGAATAGCATCACAAGAAATGTTTATATTATTGCATCAGTAATGGGGACAAGAAATCTAAGAAGGGCCATGTTGTGATCTGATTTTGAATGCAGCAATATCTATCACACTGTTCATGGAAGACTGGCCTCTAATGTTTTCCATGCTTGGCCAAAACATAGATCTCTTATTTCACTTTGTCCCACCTGCATCTCATCTCACTGCACTCTAGCCAACTACAGTGGTCTTTGATTTCTTACAGAGGCCAAGTACTTTTCTTACTCTTTGTCATTGCATGCACAACACATTTTGAATGAACAGTTCTGCACGCTCCCTCTGTTTGAAACGCTTTTCCACCCCACTCTCTATGTAGCTAGGTGTTTTTCTTTAGGTTTCAGCTTAAATGTCACCTCCTAGGAGAGCCTGCCTAGGTCCTCCCACCCTAATACAGGTCATCCTAATTTAATACTCTTATTTCCTTCACAGCAACTAATATTTTATTTGTTCATCTACTTATGTTTTTATTTACATCTACCACGAGAATATAAGCTCTGAGAAGGAGACTGCTCACTGATGTATCCCCAGCACCTTGCACCTGTGTCTGGCACCCAGGTGATGATCATGAAGTGCCTGTTGAATGAATAAAGAAAAATAGGACTGAAGGTGGAGAAATCCTTTAGAAGGGATTGTGTTTGTTCAGATGATAAATGACAAAGGTCAGAACTGAAGCTATGTCTATAGAAATGTAGAGAAGAGACCACGTATGAGGGATATTTGGAGAGAGAATTGCTACGGTTGCTCACATCAGATGCAAGGAGTAATACAGAAGACTTTTGGCTGTACCTTGGGTTTCTGGCTTCAGCAGGAATGTGTATAATGGTGCCCCAAGCCAGAAACTGAAAACACAGGTGCAGACGCAGGGCTTGAAGCATAAAGGTAAATTCTGTTTTGGATGATTTGAGTGTGAGATGAGTGGAAACATCTCAGCTAAAGTGTTCGGTGAGCATCTAAAAATCTACCTTTGTGCTAGTGGTAAGCGGATAGGGCTAGGTTAGACATAACATACTCCCAAAAGTAACCTTTATCCCTTTATTTCTACCCAAGATAGTGTTTGATGTCTTGTAAAAGAAAGCCAAATCCATATGCTGGCTGAAGTGAAAACACTGAATCACTAAAGGAAAAGCCTTGGTTGTAGAGGAAGAATGGTTTCAGGAGGGTGACCATAATACCAAAAGCACTTGCATTTGGTCCAGGAGAGACTCTGAATAAGTAATCTACTTACTGCTGGTTTTCCATCTGCTAGATAGGATGACTTATATTTAAAAGCATTTGGCATCCTTGGTCACAGTGACTGCCTACATGATTGCAAATTAGTGTTTTCATTCCATGTTAGTGAGTTCCTCTTATTCTTGTCCCAGGGGAGATAGAAAATTGCTGTTGACTATTCTTGATATAAACGTTCATATGCATTGCAACAGACTAGATGCCAGAAACCTCCTGGCATTCATTTGGAATTTCCCATACACGCAGAATTAATATTTATAATATTTAAATAACATCAAGATAAAACATCCTTTATTTAGTTCTTACTAGTTCAGAACGTCAGTTTGAGAGATCAGCTGCAACATTGGCTTTCTTTCTGTTTGGGAATCTCAGTTCAAAGTGTACAAAAGGGATGTCAGCTATGTGCTCAGAGTCTAAAACCCAGGTCTGAGAATGCCCGCTGGACCTTGTTTCCTTTTGCCTTAATAATTGCCAGAAATCTTTGTCAAAGTTTATGCAAGTTGTCTAAAACGTAATGAATTTGACCAGGCATCTGAAATCCAACATAACTTATCTAGGACTTTCCTGAGGAACAATCTCAGTCTAGCCTAGAAGAGTGTCTACTCAAAAGGCTTTTGGTCTTCAGAATTTTTTTATCGTGCACCCCAACAGTAAAAAGTTTGAGTGCATGTTTCTCAAGGTCTATTTTCTAAAATATAAGTGTAGGACATAACTAATATGCATGTTATAAAATATATGCAAAAAATATGAATTAAAATAAGATTAGTAATATTTTTAAATGTCTTGCTAATTTTGATGGCTTTGGGTTCTTATGAGCCTGATATCTCAAGGCTCAATATGCGATTACAATGAGTCTCATTATTAACAGTAATGAAGTTAAACCCACATTTTAAGTAGCCTTAGTGATAAATTCTGTTTATGGGGATCAACTTCTTGGCGGGTGCCATTTGGCTATCCTTGTTTTTACCCACTTCCATAACTGATGAAGAGTTTGTACTAGCAACCAAAGTGTCTGCTCTACCATTTTCCTATTGTTGATGGATTATCTTAAATCTGGGGTTTCACTGCAGGAGGCTTTTGAAGCCAACTTGTTTATTTTGTGAAGTTTAGTTAAAACCAGATTTTAGAATAAGAAAACTTCATTTAATACCCCCCCCATCACAATATGTTGAAAGCAAAGGAACAAGTGAGCATGCCACGTCTGAAAGAGTTTATCCACCAAAAGTGCCATGTGACCCTGACCTGCTGACATACAGACTAAATAAATGGGCAGTTTCAATTAACTTATTAAATATAGGTAGAGCTAAATTTTTTAAAATGTTAGATAAATATAAGTAGTCACTCTAATATTTTCCTTTCCTTTTCCACCTTTTCCTCCTTCCTGCTGTGTCTAAAACACCTAAGCAGCGGGGCTCCCACCTACCCTTTCTAAACCATTCTGCATTCCTTCACTCGCAGAGCTGAGTCCAGAAAGCAGAGGGTGGCATTTCTTTGTACTTTACCTTCAGGCAACTGGCTGAGACCATCCAATCTGCCTGGAATGTAATTTTGGCTTAAAAGAACCAGAACTAATGGACGAACAGAAGCAGCTTAACCCAAACTGTTTCTCATTCCACTGCCCTCTGGAGAATAGAGGGGATATAGAAGGGGAAGTTTTGTGAATTCTATGCCCTGTGCCCTTCTTTGAGGTTTGAACCATGGACAATCTTAATTGCGCCTGTAAAAGGAGACCTTGGGCAACTTGAGGCATAGTACATGCCTGGACTTAGGAGACAATTTGGATTTTTGCTTTATGAGATTGAGTGATTTTGAAGTTTTGTAATAGATTAGATAAGTATCCCTTTTGCGATTGTCCATTTCTTCCACCACCCAGGCAGCTCCTGTTCACTGTGTGTTTTATACTTGTCTCTTACTCCATCAGAGCCCAGGTTAACATGACACAATAGCAGGCATTTAGCAATTTAGATAAGATTATAAACTATACTATAGTCTCTTGATTTTTTTTTTATCTGTTTGGATGCAACTTTTGTTTGTGTTTCTTCGTGTGCTGTGTGCCTTAGTTTTCCTTGTTAGTCAGTTTTGGCATGCAGTGTAAAATTACAATTATTGTTATATACTCAAGAAAATTAGACTTTATGTTACTAGAGATTTTATTTTCTTCTTATTTAAGGTAAGGTATTTTCAAGTTCCAGGTTTCTTTTTTTTTTAAAGAAATTCTGTCTGCTGTGCCTTAGCTGCAATATTGATTATTTTTGAAGAACTGCAAATAGTTTGTAACAAAGATTAAAGCTTAATCATTTCATTGCATATGTTGCAATAGCGTATTAGAAGTGAACCATGTATTAGCATGAATTAAATAATGGTGGAACTATGAATGTATATACTAAATAAATGAAATTTTCATAACATGGGCTGTATGTGCTTCCCACTCTGGGATTGCTGATCAATGTAAAAAGCATATGATGCCATTTAGAGACCCTGGTTTCTTTGTAGCCTTTTGTGGGTAGTTTGTTCTTAATTGGTTAATTCATTGAAACTTTTTTTAGATGGTAAGGATTTTAAGTGGAATGATTATTTATAGCCTGACATCTATGAAAATGAAGTACAATCTTTGTCCAGTAAATTACCACTGCCTTGGAGGATAGTTGGGGTGGTTGTCGAATTGAGCTTGGGAAACCAAGCAGTGTGACTTTGTGCCTTAGTTTCATCATCTGTAAAACTAGAAACAACAAACGCACCCGCCTCATATGATTAAATACAAAACACTTAGAACAATGCCTGGTACAGAGGAAGCTGCCAATAAATTCTATCAGTTATTAAGTATTAATCCCCAATAAAGTCTGCCTGCTGTCCTCACCCTGTGGTGGAGTGGACAGAGATTCTTTTAAGCTGCTACTTAATTGGTGCCCTTAAGCGTCTCATTTGGATACTTGCATAGAGTGAGGATTTGTGCATATCTGGGTTTGCACAGGTAGGCCTGGTGCTTATTGGAGGTGGAACCTAGTGTCCAGTAGGAGAAACACAAGGTATAGGTTGTAGGAGAACTATGACCATTTTGAAGAGGCTTGTTACAGAGCTCTTCAGCGGGAGCAGATCTGTACGGTCCCCTGGCCTTGCCTCCGAGTGGTCCTTCCACGCTCCACACCCCTCTCTACTGGCTCCCCTTCTTTCCACTTCTTGCAGTTTTTTTCATAGACTTGGTGTTTGCTCTCAAGGATGACCTCATTGTTGGGAGGGAAAACTGTGGGAAGATGTTTCTGCCTTCCCTTTCCTCAACTCTCAGATTGTACTACTGCCTCTTCCCATGAACCCCATGTTATCGTTGCCTTTGTAGAGGTCACGGAGTAGGTTTGTCAGAGTTTTGTGGGATATAGGTGACATGAGAGTTTCAAAAAACCAAGTCCTTCTATATTTCTTTCCCTGCTCTGTTCTCTTTCTCTTACTGATTGAATTTCTGTCGAGTTCTGAAAAATACCAGTATTTTGGGCAAAGCAGCTAAGTTTTATTTTGGCTGTTGCAGAGTTAACATTGTAAACAAAATAATTTCTGCTAATAGAGTCAAGTAATCCTATCAAACTTTGCTTTCCTGGGCTGGACCAGACTATATCTAGTCCATTTGCAAAACATTATTACATACCCGCTTTGTGCAAGAGGCTTACATCAGTCACTTAAGGAAATAAAAAGAAGAATAAAACAGGCTACGTACAAATCATTCTCAAAACCACCGTCAGCCGAAACCTGGTGAGCCAACCCAACCCTACCTACCTGTGGCATCTCCCACACTTCGGATGACCAGATTTACTTTGGCTAATCTTAACAGACTATACAAGGTATGCCTTTCTCACCACCGTGTCCCATGCTTCTTGCTCAGAGGTGCTCCCTCAGTCAAAGAGAACAACTCCCTTAAATAACTCTGCCTGTCTTTTTACTCATTAGAAGCCCTTCGAACAGCAAGTGCATTCTTTGTTTATATGGGCATGGTACACTTGGAGAGAGAAGTGTTCAGGGTTGAAAAATGGCTGGAGAGCTGAGAGAATCCTGCATGTTCTTTCTACTTAACCCTGGTCTTGTGAAAAGCCATCTCTTACCCGGAGGGGGAATTTTCCCTGTTGTATGAGACCCTGACCCCTTGCATGTGCCCTAAAGCAGGCACATAGTTTTTATGTGTGCCTGTTAGTTTGAATTTGTGATACTGATCTGCTTTTTGTCCCTGCTGACGGTTATTATATCTTAATGGGCGAAACACTACTCTAATGATCCTTGTGTATATAATTCTTGTGGTACAGAGCAGGCACCAGAGGACCACATAAAAATGTTTGCCTCAATTTCCCTGCAAAAAAGAAGCCCAGAAACCAGACTTGACCAAGTAACAGATTTTTAAAGGTAAAGGAATCTAATAAAATTACCAGCTTTTCACAGCGTGTGTCTACTTCCTTTTGACATATTGTGAGGTGTAGGTGAAATATTCTAACCGAACTGACAGTGTGAGTGGGACAACTAAGGAGGGAAGGAGATAAAAGTAAAAACCACCAGCAGTGATTGATATTGCAGTAGCAATGAGCTGTTGGGGTCTCCCCTTTGTGGACTTGACACTTCACCTTTCTGACACCATCTGCAGGAGTGTTAGTATAATGAGACCTATACAGATGGAAACAAAAGTAGGATTACTTGGAATTACTGTATCAGAGCTTTGAGGCTTGCTGTAAAATTGCATAGGCTTGTATTTGTTGGTTCAGTTTATGAGCGGTGTGCCTGTGTGCACACACATGCGTGGAAGAGACAGAGACAGAAAGTGAGTGTTTTCAAAGTATAAAATGGAGGGAGCGATCTGATCTTGGGTGACGCCGAAAATAGTTTAGTTGAAGACTGACTTCTTTCCACATTGTGATCATTATGATTACAAATTAGTTAACTAATTAATTGGGCTTATGTAATGGCTAATAAGTTTAATGGTAAGTGCTTGCAAGAATGACTTAATCGGAGAGCATTCATTGATTCTCTAATACGTTGTTCCAGTATTTTGAGAATAGAATTATCAGGTGTGGATTCTGGCTCTCTAGGAACCTAAACTATATTTGGTGACTAAGACATGGGATTATGTACATGTAAGGCAGTTCTCTTAGGCATCCTAGGACTTGGTAGGCCTTTTTATTTTTCAGACTTCTGGCTGATACCCTAACCTTCCCAGGCCAATATTATTAGAAATAATACAACTAATTTAATCTCCATAAGTTCTAGGCTCAGTATCAATCTCTTGATATTGCTTCTGCTACCTCTGAATTTTCTTTTACTTTTTAGATTTTATTTTTAAGATCCTTCCGTGGAAGAGGAGAAACTTCAGTGGAATACTTGGCATTGGCCCTAAGTTCATCTGTTTATCTACTTCTTTTACCTGTCCTTTCCTCTCTACTCCATTCCTTTCCCAGTCCCTGGGGGACAGATCAGTAGTCATGCTCACCTCTTAGACTCCTCTGCCTGTTTCTGGGGGGATGGTACAAAGCTCTTCCCCTAAACCTAGGCTCAAAGCCTCAGAGTGGT
The DNA here is from genome assembly GCF_000001405.40 of Homo sapiens. Lineage (NCBI taxonomy): Eukaryota > Metazoa > Chordata > Mammalia > Primates > Hominidae > Homo > Homo sapiens. The sequence goes on along the minus strand of NW_011332701.1, from coordinate 4,966,809 downwards.
TTCAGGCTAAGTCCCCAGAGCTAGTTAGCAATGTCACTATAATAGTGCTCTGTAGTGTCTTTCTTTTTTGCCCTATCCTTTCTGTCCACACTATTCAAGTTTTTGCTACCTCTTGCCCATTACAATAGATTCTAAATTAGTCTTTTCAAATTTTGACTTTTTGTGTGTGTAATATAATTTTGTCCAATTTACTCCTCCATTCATAACTGCTCAACAGCTCTCTCCTGTATAACAAGTGTATTACAGGTTCATCGTGGCATTCAAAATTCTACAAGGTTTTACCCCAAACTATGTTTGGAGTGTATCTTTCTAGTCCCTTTAATTAAGTCTCTCTTCAAACCAAAATTGAACTACCTGCCATTGCCTAAACATTTTGTGAGCCTATTATCTGCTGCTTCTAGCTGGAATGTTTTGTATCCTTCCAGTTTACGTTCACTGGCACGTATTGCATACTTACAAATTGTCATTGCATGGATGAATTTAGCTTAATTATTGGTGATTAATAGATTAGTGTTTTCAGTGTCTGCCTAAAGCAATATAATAGTTGAACTTTTACTCAACATTTTTCCTAAGGAGATACAGCTATTTAAAACTTTTTTGAATAAGGAAAGATATTTTCCTTATTCATTCCCTAATAATGAGAAAACTCATCTTTGAAGTTAATTATTTTTGTTAGGGAGTATTCAGGCAAGCGGTATAATCTACACCGAGTGTGTGAGTTGGGGGCACAATTATGTAACTGCTGGCCAAACCTTGATTTTTGGACAGGGTCAAATTGGGAAGAAGCAAACAACCATGATTCAGATACATGCCTTATAAGGCTGTGCCCCTTTAGAGGCTCTCTGGTTTCTTTTTAAGACCCTATGTTCTCTTTGTCAAGAAGCTTTTCCTCCCATCAGCAGGACTCAGTCTTCAGGAGTCGTATGGTATAATTATACCCACAAACATCTATGTTATACATGCTACACCCCTGGTACCATGCTGGGAGACAGTTATCAAGATGCTTAAGAAATCAACTGCTGACTGCAAGGCTTTCACAGTCTACTGGGAGAAGGAAACAGTTATGCAACATACCACAGATTCTTAAAGTATACCATCTTCACCTTATGTAAAATATGAGAGAGGTACCATGGCAGAGGAAAAGATTGAGGACTTAATGATGTGAGGGTCAAAGGATGTCCTTCCAGGGCTTTGACCTCTGTGCCATGGAGAGATGAAGAAAGGGAGGAAGCCATGGCATGTTCAGGAATGGGGAAGGACACAGGGTGACTGGAACCCATGGTGCATGGAGAACATGGTAGGAGATGAGTTTGGAAGTGTAATTGAGGCGAGGCAGGGAATGAGCTTAACAACCAGGCCAAGGAGTTTAGACTTCGCCGAGTGTTTAAAGGAAGATATTGGAGGTATGTTAAGCATCACAGTAAAATTTTGAAATCCATGTTTTTAAAAAGTAACCTTGGTACAATGAAGGATGGATTGATGAGAAATATTGAAATTATAGATAAAAATATGATAATACAGACTTGGAGGTACCTGGCATTTCCCTTAAGACACTTGATCCATTATTTTTTGTAATTAGAGTTCTGTGTCATAGACCTTTCCTGTTAATAATGCTTTCTGAAGTTGGGTCTTGAGTGGGGTTTTAAAGGACTGGAAGGGTTTCCTAGTAACCGCGATCAGAAACACCTAAGAATTCGGGAAGGTTGCATTTACAGCACAAATCACTCAGTAGTTGTAGTTTTCTTTCTCTAACTCTTTCCAGATGTTAAAGGGGATAAGGCATTAACAAGCATTAAAACACATTTACAATGTATATATTTGAAATCATGATAGTAATAGCTCATATATACCATTTTGGGCTTATACCATGTTCTACGTGCTATGCTAAGCATATATCTTACCTCACTTAATATTTTCACTAAGTGGTATTAGAGCTGTTTTATAGATATGCTGAAGCTCAGAAAATTTAACATGTCAGGATCACACAATGAGTAAATTTTGCTCTGTCCATGATAGTCACCTTGATTTTTTTTTTTCTATACCTTGAATGTGTTCCTTCAGAAAAAGAAACTTGTCTTTGCAGTTACCTCTCCCTGGGACGTTATTCTCCAAGATAGCCACAAAACTGATCTCTGCAGGTCTTCTCTTAAATGTCACCTCCCAAAGAAGCCTTCCTTGAGCCTTCTGTCTAATGTTGTACATTTCTCTGTTTTACTTTCTTCATAGTAAATTGTTATCTGAAATTATGTATTTACTTGTTTATTTTCTGTCCCCAGACTGGGATATAAATTTCATGAGATTAATTAAGTACTTTGCACTTCTAACTTAAAAATCCACAGTATTTAGAACAGATCCTGTACACATCCAACAAATACTTATTCAAGGGCTGGATGGAGGAATGAATGAATCCATGTCTTCAGAGCCCATGGTTGTTCTCAGTCCCAACCTCTCTGGGTGTTATTTTTCTGCTACTGAACACACTGGAAGGGGCACAGCTGACAATACCATCTGAGGAACTGTGTGCCTGGGCCCCAGACTGATTAACTTTTAAAAACTGAGTATTTACTTACTAGGAAAAGAAACTCACAGGTCATTCTCTTTCTCATTAGTTAAGATTATTTGATTATATCTAAGCTTGTAATATATAGTTACCCAGGATGCATGATTAGTTAACATGTAAACATTTTTGGTAGATTATTGTTTAGAATTTGACCTTTTCTTATGCGCTCATGTTGGTTGATTTTTGTGAGAGAATACTGAGATTTACATAAAATAGACATTGTTTCTGGCTATTTTGGTTTTCAACGCACTAGACATTTAAAAATGCCTGTTGTGTCTGACAAATTAGTGGATTTATGTGATCTCCACACACAAAATAACAGTCTTGAGAGGACAAATCCTTTCTTTCTGTCCTTAAACTGCATTTTTCTTTACTGGTTTCACATTGGCCTTTGTGGATGTGTGATGTTCCTTTGTCTTGGTGGAATCTGAGGTGACTTACTTTGACTCTAGCATATTAACCTCCTCTTTTCTCTCTGTTCCATGTATCTAGGAATAGCTTGCTGATTAACCCCTAAGTTTGAGAAGGTGGCCTGCAAAGGAATTTTAAGTACATTTCTTGCTGTTCTGTGAGGTTCCATGATCTTAGCTCAGTTAATTTTAGCTTTGTTAAAATTGTATGAAAGGGTTCATGTGATTCTAAACCACAGAAGAAGCAAAATACCTCAAAAACAACCTGCCCCTTACCTTGGTCCCCACCTTCCCAAAAACCATGGTGTAATGCAAATGAACAGAATAAATAGTTGACGAGCAAAATTTTAAGGCATTCTAAGTATCACTGGTTGGTTTAATAAAATTAATTAGCCTGCCACGGAGAAAATTTACTAGCGTGCTGGTTAATTTCACAATGTAAAGTCAGGGAAGGGAGGTAGGGTTGAGGGAACAAACCTTATTAGTTTTGAATAATTATTTAAAGATGTGGACCTGCTTATTTCAAACACTTCGATAGCCAAATCCATTAAGGATTTTAAGTCTCAATTTTTGCATCCCAGTATCTATGGGAAGGTACCTCTCTAGATGAAATCATAAGCATATTAGTTAACGGCTAAATTAATCTTAAATAATACAGAACAAGTAGAATCCTAATAAAGCCATGGGAATGAGAGCCTGCCTGAAGACTGGCTCATGGGAGGTTTCCATAATCTTAATTTGCTATTGATGCAATTATTGTTTTTTCTTGTCTTTTTAATCCAAACAAGATGTTGGCAGTGGCCACGGAAAGGTGCCTGAAATCACATGCCTGAATTCATTTAATTTGCCAACATTGTCTTTTTTCTCTCTTTCTTTCTGGTAATGGGCAAGAGTCAGTTCTGGTGCATTAGGTACTAAATCTCTTCAATTACCATCGGGAAGAAAGATTTAAAATTGTGCTTCAAACCTACAAACTGATTTAGTTTTAAAGCACAAACACTTCTCCTGTGGAGCCTAAATTAAACTGCAGAAAGGACTCAGAGCCTGAGGAATTAAACAAGGCAGAGCCAAGGCTCAGGCCAATGATAGGAACCATTTTGGTTTCTTTCATTTGAGACCCCTGGTGCGAAAGGAAGGGGAGCAGAGAGGCACAGCTTGTGTAAGAAAACGCAATACTCTGTTAATTGCTTGGAAGCTGGATGTGGAGTAAACATTGGTGCAGGGGACCTAATCAAATCCCTTATCCTCTTTTCTTTTTGGGTGCTTGGCAGCCATTTTCAATGTGGATGACTCCGTGGTTGATCTGGAGACCCTGGCAGCCTTATATGAAAACGTGAGTGTCAAAGACTTACAGAGCTAGTATTTCCATATTTATCTTCTACCTGAGAAATGACTGAGCTGTTCATGTTCTTTGGTAGTAAGGGTTTTGACGTGGCCTGGAAGAGATTAAGGCATAGAAACACAAGCTTGAATGGGAGTGGATGTGAGAAGCACTAGATTCCTGACTCCCACTGTGGTATCTGGGCTAGCAGATCTCATTGCACACTTGCAAGGCAGGGCATCTCAGGTGGACACCATTTACGTGCCCTGGAACCCAGTCCTGTCACTTGCTGGCCAAGTGAATGAAGGTAAGCTGCCTACTGAAATGATAGCGTGCACTGGTGTCTACTTCTGAAGAATGGGACTGCTAATACCAGCTTGGATGATTACTCTTAGTCCAAATGAGTTGATGATATTGAATGTGGGAAGGTGTGTAGAATGGTAGGTATGTGTTTTGGATTTAGAATGAGACAGTCTTAGGTTTGAGGTCCAGCTGTGTCTACCATTGCCTGCTAAGTGACCTTGGGCTAGTTACTTAAACTTCTTAATCCCGTTGTGATCATCAGTATAGCGGGGATTATAGTAGGCTCTGATTTTTTTTTTTTAGTCAAATGAGGATTTAATATATGTAGCAGTAGCAATGTATTTTGAAAGTCAACAGGACTGTACACATATAAGGTTTTTGATTTGGGTTTTAAGTGGACATAACCAGCAGAATTGTCAGGCTCTCTTGAGAAGACAACACAGGAGAGTCAGAATTCCCATGATTGTTCATTGTTTTGGTTCACTGACTGTTAGGCTACAAAAACATAGATTGAACCACATTCTCTTAAGTAATGGTATTTCCCAGGAAGCTGTCTAGGGCTCTATAGTGTACTGTGGTCACCAGTTCAAAAGATGATTCGTTTCATATTTATGTCCCCTGGGACCTTAAGTTTCTTACAGAAGATTTCCATAGTCTAATAGTCTAGGCTTGGTGGCATCACCAATTCCTTGCTCATTTTCACATCTTTATATGTATCAGGAGCTACTTAGTACAAGTGGGTCGGAACTTCTCACGTTTCCACTAGTAAAGCTTTCGTTAATAAACCAGAAAGTACACAAATACCAGGCCATTGGGAGCTAATTATGCACTTGAATACTTGGAGGTCAGCAAGGTATAGAGGCAGAAAGAGGGAGTTCCAAGTCTGAAGCTCTTTAACAGTTGCTTAGTACAAGCCTCAGTGGAATAATCTGTAAAATGAGGATACAGTGGTTCATGTTAAAGAACTTTGTCAAAGGCAGTACCTTCCAGATGCTTTGTGTTGTTACCATGAGCTCAGGACTAAGCACATGGTTGCCGCTTGTTAGCTCACAGTAGAGATAAGCTTCATTCAACTGAAATAGTTGGATAAATTGAGAAAGTAAGTGACTCAATGCCAAAATAAGTGGTACAGACAATGAGTGCTTACGAAATTTGGAAAAAGGGACGTTGTTGACTAGAAATGAAAGAGCTGCGAGTTCATATAATTTAGGGCTGTTCTAAGAGTAAGGAAACAAATTCTAAGAACAATATTCCCCCAGCCTCCTTACAGAGGAAGAGATGGGGGATTCAAAAGTAGAGCTCAAATAGCTGTACTTCTGTGTCCAGCTGCGTGTACTTGTTAGGTCCATTTGCATTGAATCTCAAACTTGAGCATGCATCAGAATCACCCAGTGGGCTTGCATCCCCCCACCCCCACCCACACCCCAAGTTCTTGTGTCTAGGGTGGGCCAATAATTTGCATTTCTGACAAGTGACAGGTGATGTTGTTGATGCTGCTAGTCTAGGAACCACACTTCGAGACTTTGAGACCCACTGCCATAGCCAGAGTCTCACTTCCCTTTTTTTTTTTTTTTTTTTTGGTTTTGTTTTCTATTTTGATACAGAGAGCCCAAGAGGATGAGCTGGTTAAAATAAGAAAGTATTACGAGACATCCAAAGAAGAAGAACTGAAGCTGCTGGATAAACCTGAGCAGTAAGGATACTTAACATTTTTCTGTTAGGCCAAAAGGAGAACTGCAATTTCTGTCTTCTTGTCTCCCAGCTCAGAATAACCAAATCTAAATGTGCAGCCAGCTAAATCACAACACCGTCATTCCTGTGACCTGTTGCATGCAGCAGGATGACCCTGCTGCCGGGAAAAGCAGCGCTGAGATTTGTGCTGTTGGATACAGTGTGTCTCACCCCCCTCCCCCACCCCAAGAGACTCCCCTTTCTTTTTCTAGCAACTTGTTAATTCCTCCTAGACTAAACAATTTGACCAAAAGGGTAACTGAGGAAGGAAGAAGGCATTGTTCTGTTTAAGGTTCTCTTGATGAAGTTAAAAAGATGATATCAGAGTCACAGAATTCAAGTTTATTTTCCTAAAGGTCATATCCAGTAAGTGCAGCCTGAATGTGCTAGCTTTTCCCCAAACTTCTCCACCTGCTCTGCCCAAATGTGGCTTTTTCTCACCCTCACTCTGTACATGCTTGTTTTTCTCTCCAGTCACTATCTATGGCTGCTTGCTCTGTTGTTTGTGATGCCGTTCCATAGGCTTTGAAGACCCAGAACTCCGGGGTGTAACTGAGTGACTCTTGGGGTCTCGAAGCCATAGATAAGCTCCCGGGGCTCTGCAGCCCCACGACCCTGCCCAGCTTTCCAGGGCTTAGGACTCTGTGAGACTGTAAAATGGGTTCAGAGGACCTGTGTCCTCTGACACAGGTTCAGAGGGCCTCTTTTGCCTGTTGCTACCTTGAATTTTTTTTGTCCAGTTCAGGCCAACCCTCTCAATCTAGAGATGAGGCAAGTGTAGAAAATGAAGCAGAAATGGAGCTATCAGATCAGGGTTACCAGTCAGCCCTAGAAACTTCCAAGGTTCTCCGGCTTGCACTGGAGTTCCATGCCTTGTCCCTTGGGTCCTCTAGAAACGGGTCCCCAACCCCTGGGCCACAGACTGGTACCAGCCCATGGCCTGTTAGGAACCAGGCCACACAGCAGGAGGTGAGTGAGAGACAAGCCGGCATTACCACCTGAGCTCCGCCTCCTGTCAGATCAGCAGCAGCATCAGATTCTCATAGGAGCACAAACCCTATTGTGAACTGCGCATGTGAGCGATCCAGGTTGCACGCTCCTTATGAGAATCTAATGATTATCTGTCACTGTCTCCCATCACCCCCAGATGGGACCATCTAGTTGCAGGAAGCTAGAGGGACCATCAGGGCTCCCACTAATCCTAGATTATGGTGAGTTGTATAATTATATCATTGTATGTTACAATGTAATAATAATGGAAATAAAGTGCACAATAAATGTAATGTGCTTGAATCATCTTGAAACCATCCCACCTCCAACCCCAACCCCTGGCCTGTGGAAAAATTGTCTTCCTCGAAACCGGTCCCTGTGCTAAAAAGGTTGGGCACAGCTGCTCTAGAATACCTCAGTCCCCATGGATGCCTGGACATTTAGACTCAGGAAAACATCTTAAATGGCTGAGGATGGGAGTTGGGAAGAGAATTCTGGGTTTACTCAGTTGACGACAAACCTACATGATGGTTCTGGGAACCTTGGATGACTTGCTCTCACATGGAGCATGGTCCAGGATCCCCCCTCAAAGTAGGTTTCTAAAGCCTAGGAATATTGTGAATCAAGTCAAGTGAGGTTCCCTTGCTGTCTTGTTCCACTGACTTGAGACACCTTCCTTACCAATCCCTACCCTCAACTGATCCTATAGTTTATTTCCAAGTCATATTTCCTATTATAACAAATGAATCCCTCTTACGGTGCTAATGACTGAAAGTAAAGTGATTAATAATGGGCTGTTTCAACACTGAAAAGGCCATTTGGTTGTATTGGGGCACAGTGGGCATATCAAAGCACTTGGGTAGTGCTGGTTATACCAAGTTACACAGTAATATTCTCCTCTAAGCCTGGAGTTGGCAAACCTTTCCTGTAAAGGACTAGATAGTAAGTCTTTTAGGCTTTGTGGCTTACGGGATGTTACAAATATTCAAGTCAGCCATTGCTGTGCCAAAGCAACCACAGGCAGTATATAAACAAATGGGTATCGCTGTGCCCCAATGACATTTTACTTATGAACACTGAAATTTGAATTTCATGTCATTTTTACATGTCATAAAATGTTGTCCTTCTGTTGACTCTTTTTTCAACAATTTAGAAACGTAAACATCGTTCTTTTAATTCATGGGCCATACAAAAACAAGTGGTGGCCTGGTTTTGGCCTGTGGGCTGCAATTTGCCAACCCCTTAACCACCGAGCAGCCCTTGTTCTAAGCTATGGGAATGGCTGATCCGGTGAAATGAACAGGCAGGGAGAGATCATGCGTTTCTGCTACTGTCCTAATTATTGTTCTAATTGCCGGGACTTAGATAATGGTAGCAGGTAATTAACACACAACTTACTCTTGTTTTCTCTACTGATGATCTAGATAGAAAAGCATTTTTAATGTTTATAAATGGTCATTGTAATGGCTTCGTGAACACGCAAACCCAGCAAAAAGGACTGTCATGCTGTGCTGGTGAGGTGACTTGCCTGGGCTCAGTTGCGGGAGGGTGAGGCACGGATAGATGGGGGCCTTCAGACCTGGGTGCATTTCACCTTTGCTACCAACCTCCTGCACAAACCAGCATTTGTTTGATTTATGCCACTCTGATTCTCTGGCAACTTATTTGCCATTAACTCCAAGTGAGTCGACTATAAGCATGTTTTACATACTGGAAAATATGAATCATTTATAGTTTTAACGTTGCAGTTTCCTAAGAGCCCTGTGGTGCCCAGTCCTATAAATCAGAGCATGGAGAGGCTGGCCTCATCACTCACCTCATCAACTCTCTTACACTCCAGTGCCAGATTTAGAAAGCCATTGCCCACAGAGGTGTCATCTGTTTGGGACCAGGCTGTCTGAGAACCACTCCCTCTAGGGATGGCCGTTGACTCTTATGCTGCCGGGTAATGGTTGTGAGGTGAGGCTCTACTGGGTTTGATTAGGCCTGGTACACACTTCTCATGGCCTAGGGTGAGAACACTATACACAGTCTATTGTGATTTTCATGAAGGTCCACAGCTGCCTTGGGGCCCCCACACAGTAGACTCTGTTAGTGTAATCCTCCATCGAAGAATGCAGGTTGCAACATTCAGTTATGCTATGTGTATCGCCTATGTGCACATACACCTTAGGTGATACCATTCAGAAATTTAGGGATAATAAATCAAATGTTAGTCTCTTAAAAACATGAGCCACATTGCTTCATTCCACCCGTCAGCTGAGTTGCTGCTGTAGATGTGTAACCCAAATAATGTGAGACACAGAACGTCTTTCATATATTAGAAGCTGAAGTTGCAGTCCTTCCTAGAAGTATTAGCCTACATTGGAGAAAGAAGGGAAGGATCCCTCATTTGTGGCTTCTTTTGGGAATATTTAGTCTTCTTTCTTACTGAACCTAGAATGTAAAGTTAGACTAGCCCAAAAGGAACTCAATCCATAAATATTCAGAAGTACCAAGGCCCAGTGTCCAAGATCCCATGCTTGGGAATATTTAAGAGAGTTACTGTGTTTGCTCTTGTGGGTAGAGGATAAAACAGTAATGGGGCAGGGCAGGGGAAGAGAAGCTATTTGTCAGATGCTTGCTTCACAGCCTTCAAAGTAACCCATACCTCTGGTAGCTTAGCAGATAAATAAGAGAGGAGCTATGGTGCTCCTTGCATGGCTGTTTTTGGATGGCAAGGGTCATAAAACTCTATTTTTTTCCTCCAAATTTGCTTCTTTATTATTTTGTATTTTCGCTATACCCAATATCCACGCCAAAACTGCAAAGTCATCCTGGACTCTTCACAACATCTCTTAGGAGTAGGTTGCTCTGGGTCTTGTTACCTTAGCAGCTTCCTCATCCATTTGCCCCTCTCCATTCACACTGCAAGCCCCTCTTACCTTTCCTCTTGGAAGATTACAGCTGTGGTCTAGGAGGTCTCCCAGCCTCAAATTTCCTCTCCCATCCAATCAGCTGAGCTGCTGCCATGGAGATTTTCTACAACAAAAAGCAGAAACTGTCACCTTCCTGTTTAGAACCCTTCATTCGTTCAGAAGTTTAAACCCTGTATTTTAGAATACAGAACACAATTTTAGCATCTGCCTTCTACTCACTTCCCCCACAGATACCATTCAGCCTATCTGGGCTCTCCCGGCAGTTTCTCACATGTTGTGCGTGAGCATCACAGGGCTCCGGGGACCCTAGCTGACAATGTTCCCCCCATGACACTTGAGTGTCCTGCATTTGCTTTCCTAGCTCCTCTTCTGGATCCATCACCGAGAGCACTCATTCACACTCCACAGTAATTGTTGGTTTACTTCTCAGATTATCAAGATGGGACTGTAGATTAAGCTCTGTTCTCAGATCTTCGCATGGTCCCTGACACACTGTAAATGCCTCATACATTCCTAAAGGACAGACTGACATTCTTGGTGACTGATCTTCTAGTATGAATTTTCAAGTCTTTCCAAAAGTAATGTAAAATTATGATCTTTTCTCCCCCCTCCAACTCTTCGTATGGGTTGCAGACCCTTCTGCTTAAAGAGGACATTGGAACATTTAAGATTCTTTAAGAGCTTTTCCAGTGCAAGCCCTAACCCCAGAAAGGCTTTAATCCTAGAGAGCCTTGCAATTCTATCCTACCCTTTCTTGCGTAACATACATTGATAAGACTATGGTCTTGTCGCCTCATATTGGTCCTATGCTTCCTCTTTTGAGATTAGTTATAGGTAACTATTCATTCAGCATTTTCTGCTTTTCATCTAAGTCCTTTTTGGTGAGCCGAGGCATTGATCTGTATATTTTCCCAGGTGGTGTCTGTAACTGCTTCGCTCACTGTGATAGGAAGTGTACATGCTCTGGGAACTTGGGTCCTGAATGACGCCTCATGGGTCACATTTAGAAGGGGAGAAATGCAGGGCCCTTCTTTCAGAATAGCTCAGCATCTGAATAAATACGTCTTCCCCAGACTCATTACAGGATCAAATGCTGTCAGTCTTGTGAGCTTTTTGCTTCTTATGTATTTATAAAGACTGATGATACCCCTGATTTCAGTCATGATAAATGAATAAATTGTTTAATATTCATTAAGAAGTAATTTACACAGAGTTTAACTTTTTCATCTTGTCCTAATGCAGAATTCCTATGAATTTCTACTTTTATACTTCATCAGATAATTTTCATAATAATGGGTTATTGAACTTTAAAACAAGATTGTGTTTTCTCTTATGGATATTCCTTGCTTTCATTAAATGTCATCTAAAAAAAGATTGTGGATTATGACCTAGTCGTGGAATAAATACGAAATCAATTGATGTTAGAAATTAATTAAAACCCAAATCTCCCTAAAGGTAGAGGCAGCACAGGGTGTATAAGCAAAGAAAATATCTTTCGGTATAGAAAGAAGTAGGCTTCAGCTTTGTTCCTATGTAAAACCATTTTTGGTGAGAGATGGCAAAATTCCTTGGTAATGACGTTATGAGTTGACCAAGACTTTCAGAAATATCAGTTAATCATCATCTCAACACCAAAATGAAATAAATGGCTGTTAGTAGATTTTCTCCTTTTCTGAATTCATGTCCAACTGTTTCCACCCATTTTCATTTATACCCCTTCCTCTGGTGGTTGGCCTGGAGAGTATGTCGCTCTTTCCAACTTAGTTTTGCAAAGGGAACAAGTGCCCAACCACTCAGACAGTGAGCTACTGTGTGTAGGTCAGTACTCACCTTTAGCTTTTAAGATCTGTCTTGCCACATTTTTAAGGAAACTTTAGGTTGTCTACTTAATGAGTGCCTGCTTTGTTCTAAATACTGAGTTGTAAACTATGTCTATGTGTGTAAGTTAATGTGAAAAAGTAAACAAATATCTGGAGAATGTGATCATTATAGACCATTATGTAACTCACTGAGCAAAAATAGTAGCAATATCACTTTAGTAAGAGATTTTTTTTTAAATCACTTGTCTGTAGACATTTGCCTCAAGTCTTCAGTTTGCTTAGCCTGTATAAATACACCTTTAGAGAATGCTGCATTATGAGGGAGTTTATTGCATAATTTTTCTCGTGTGTTAAAGACTGGGGCTTTCCATTTGGGTTTAGTCTCTTGTTTGGGCAGCAGGAGATAGATAACTTGTTTAGTATACTTGTGTTAACTTTCTGTTCCCGAAGGAATTTCTATACCATGCATTTATTCATCATGCTAGAACTCCTTTAAAAAACAGCCCTGTTGTCAACAATGGAAACCATGCCCTTGGAATTCCTTGAGTCTACCTATGTGACACCTTTTATAATTGTTGAGATTGTTAGGTAAGGAATGTTCCCAAAGTGGGTCTTTTTCAGCTGTCTTTTTATTTTCCTTGTGATTATATGTGAAGGTAGATGACACATTTTCTTTTTTACAGATTTTTACATGAGTTAGCCCAGATTCCTAATTTTGCTGAACGTGCCCAGTGCATAATCTTCAGATCTGTCTTTTCTGAGGGTATCACCTCCTTGCACAGAAAGGTAGAGATCATCACGCGAGCTTCTAAGGTATGTTTACTGTCTAATTTAAAAGATAGCCTTGCTCTGAAGAGTAAAGAAGAAAGTGGGAGAGACCACTTTAATGCCATTATAGAAACCTTTTTGGACTCAGATTGTATGTTTTTCTAAGTGTAAATTTGATGATTATCTTGCCCGTGTGTGTGTGTATGAGAGAGAGGGAGAGAAAAGGAGATGCAGATGGATGAAGAGGGAGAAGGAGGGAAAAAAATGACACTTTTACAGATTCCTTCTAAAAAATTCTGAGTATCTTCCAAAGTACATACTGGCCACTAAAAACCAATCTAAATAGCATGGTCTGTTTCTTATTTTACAATTTGGATTGCAGAAGAGATTTTGCTTGAGATCCATACATTTGATCATCTGAAATGTGTCAACCTAATAAGAGGATCCTAGAGACTTGATAAGTGAAATAAATGACTGACAGTGAGTCATTGGCAAAGAAATATTTGTTGGCTTTACTACACTGGTGTTCATTATAAGGTTAAATTCTAGCACCTGCCTTTTTCTCACAGTTGACCCATGCTCTTAAGGACACGTTATTCTTCTCCACAAATACTGTAGTACTTTGTTCCTTATTTGGAGAAATGATTTTTTTTCCTCTAAGATATGAGATATTTCAGTAGAGAATAAATATTACTGAAATATAATTATACACGCACTAATAATACCTGAAAGGCAGGAGCAGAAAAAGAAGTCTGCCTGGAGCTGAATTTTTTTTCTTTCTTTCTTTCTTTCTTTTTTTTTGAGACGGAGTCTCATTCTTCTTGCCCAGGCTGGAGTGCAGTAGCGTGATCTCGGCTCATTGCAACCTCTGCCTCAAGGGCTCAAGCGATTCTCCTGCCTCAGCCTCCCAGGTAGCTGGGATTACAGGTGCCTGCCATCACGCCCAGCTAGTTTTTGTATTTTTAGTAGAGATGGGGTTTTACCATGTTGGCCAGGCTGGTCTTGAACTCCAGACCTCAGGCAATCCACCTGCCTCGGCCTCCCAACGTGCTGGGATTACAGGCGTGAGCCACCGTGCCCAGCCATTACTTTTTTTACCCTGAAATAAAGGGGGATAAAATGTGAATTAAGACCATAAAGAAAAAAAATTTCAATTGGAAAATTGTACTTGAAGTAAAAAATAAATAAAAGGACAAACAAATGAGACAGGGAGACAAAGAAAATCCTAAGCAGCTTGAAATTGTAAAAGTTAATAGACAATACAACAAGCACTTAATAAAGTAAGTTTAATAAATTTATTAAAGATGGCCTACAGCCTTAAAATGCATTATTGTAGTTTAGCTCTGAAAATTATATCCGGGGATAAAGAAGAACATACTTCTTCTGTATCTGCTCTGCATTTAACTGTATTGGTTATCTAGATAAATAGTCCTGAAATACATCCTCAAAAGGTAAACCCCTTTCTACCTAGAAGTCATCAAAGGTTAAGCCTTACTATATATACCAACTCCCTTTTTACAACTTCTACTTTAAAATAAGTATTAAAAATTAAACTGGCTCAAATGAAAATATAAAACCAATAGTTAATCCTCATGTATTAAAACATGCACTGTTTATAATTAATTTGAGTGGGTAGAAAATAATGGCTGTTAATGTGTTTGTAAAGACACTCATGGCTTAGTAAAGTGTGTTTTTCATTTCAGCAACTGTTAATTCTGTTGGTACCAAGCCTCCCGACAGCCTATTGAGTACACAGTCGATATTTGTTACTGAATGAACATGGGTGCATTTGGAGTTCAGCTCCGTAATAACTGGTGTTTGCCATCACAGGACTTGCTGCACGTGAAGAGCGTGAAGGATATTTTAGCTCTCATCTTGGCTTTTGGAAATTATATGAATGGAGGAAATAGGACTCGGGGACAAGCCGATGGATATAGCTTAGAAATTCTGCCCAAACTCAAGGATGTCAAAAGTCGGGTATTTATTTTTCATAATAAGTTCCCATGATCTGCCATTATTTTCTTTCTTTACCTTTAATTTTAAAAAACGTATTCCAGATTGTTCCATTTATCTCTATCCTCCCCTTAACAACATTTATATTAGAGCATGCATTTTTTTGTTTGCTTTCTTTTCACTTTCGAATAAAGAGTTTTGTTTGGTTTTTTTTTTTCACGTTAGACTTTATTTTCAATTACTCAATTCCCATCTTCGTGTGCTCTGACATACACAATCAGGTATTGAACTGCTACTCAGTGAGAGAACAAAACAGATAGCATACAGTACCAGGATCCTGCAAAGGCTGGAGGCTGTTTGAGTTTAGTGTTGGCTACTAGTAGTTTACTCATTCCTGAATGGCAGAGCAATGTTGAATCACCAATTTTTTGCCACAACAATTGGGCTGGGGTCTACTGTCAAGCTCTCTGAGCCTGATTATCACTTGGCTCCACACCCCTGTGGCGCTACCTCTTTAGAAACAATCAGCCCATAGCTAGGCGTCCCATGGGGGGCAGGGGGGTGCAGGGAGGGGAAACACACAGGCAAATTAGAATTAGGCCCCAGTGAGCAGGACACAAAGGCTGCCTTGTGGGAGGGCCTGCTCCCCACTGGCCTCCCGGGGTCATAAAGTGGTGTGGTGCTCCTTTTAAGCTGGCCTGGATTGTTTTTCACACCATTAAGAACGCACATTTTTTGAAAGACGGGCAGGGAGGGTGCTTTTCTGTTCTAGGCCCTGGTTCCCTTTAGCATTCCCCGCACCTCCTGTCTTGGCTGTGTGCCAGAAAATACAAGGACACAACTTTTTTGTTTGTTTTAGCCATTATTTCAGAAGTTTTATGGATTATCTGTTTGTTTTTCCCCACAAAGGATAGTACAGTGTCATTTCTTTATGTAGCCAGCATAATAAATGGATGGGATAAAGCAGAGGAAGGAAAACCTTGCCAGCATCGAAGAGAAAGCCAGTTTTCACGAATTAGAAATTTCTCAACTGAGATTTCACCTCTCAACCGTGTAACATGACAGTCTCATGGGAATGATTTTCATGTACATTTCTCTTTTAAACCTAGGATAATGGGATTAATCTGGTGGACTACGTTGTTAAGTATTACCTGCGTTACTATGATCAGGTAAGAAATGGTATTACGTGGAAAAGTTTCACCTCTTACTCATTGTTGACATTCATAAGTTGGATGATGGATAGATGGATGAACGAACTGCAAGCCCAACATAGAATATGAGAGCTCTCCAGCGTGGTTTACAGATGAGCACACTGAAACCAAGAGAGTTTAGTTGACTTATGAAGAGAAGCATTATTCAGTGGTGTAAATCTACTGAGTCTCAATCGACTATAACACAGCTTCAGAGAGACCCCTAGCTGCCTCAGTGCTTTATGGCCAGATTGTGAGGTTCTCTGTGAAATCTAGATCCGCTCAGTAATTGGTTATAATTGAAACTGTATTCTGATGATGCAAAGCAAAATTTAGGAAAGTAAGACTCAGTAATACCCAATATTTTATCAGTAATGAATCTATGAACAGACTGAAGATGTAGAATTTGAAAAATCCATCTTTTCTGCTTAGAGGGCATTTGCAATTAGAAATAAACATTTCTGTGTGAGTCCATCTGAGCAGAATTTTCTATTTTATTCCTTCTTGTTAAATTGAGAACAAGGAGTTGTAATTTTGAGAAGAAAAAGGTATTGTTGTAAGATGTTAAGAAATATAGCAATCGATATGAATAGTAAAAGTCTCAAAGTAAATGCTGTCAGGACTTCTGCTTAACCATCCATGTAAGCATAATTGTTCCTAAGCATCGAGGGAAGAATAGTAGAGATCTCAGGGCCTTTCAATAGGCCTGCAGTTTCATCCAGAAGACAAGTGAGGCACTGATGAACTCCATAATACTTTCTTCTACCCTCCTGGTGGGCTTATCTAACTATTTTCAATATACCTACAGCCAGGCTCATCGTTTCCCCGCCCCCCAAACTTTTCCCTGATTTCTGTTAAGAATATCGTAGTTTTTGATAGTTTTTGGCTATTAAGGCATGAAACCTTGTCCTTCTCTGGCTACTCTCTGTCCTTCCACTGAGTTGTTTCTGATGTCCTTCCCTGTTTTGTTTTTTGTTTTGTTTTCCTGCCGACCCCAGCTTACCCAGGTTTTAAGACCACTCACTTGGAGAATTTCACTTGCTTTCCAGCTCAGCTCTCTATTTCGAGGTTCTACCACTCTAAGCCATCCCACACCCTCTTTACACAGCTCTGATCCTATTGCTTTTCTACTCAAAACAGAAGTGGCTCCCCATTTTCAAGTGAATTAGGACTCTACGAATTTAATTCCAATCTTTTACAACCTTGCTTTTATTACTTTCCCTCTACACGTATTCTGTGATCCAACTCAAGACCTGATGTTTTCCACACACACCCTGTGCTTTCTTACTAATGTGTTTTTACTTCTGATGTTCTCCCTCACTGAAAGTATCTTTGTCTCTAGCCTTTTTATAAAACTTCCTTTTTTTCTCATTACTCCTCTCTGGAAATAATAAATTTAAAGATTTTTTGGGAAAAAGTCTCCCAGTAACATTACCAATATATGTGTTACAGACTTAACCAGACAAGTACAGACCTTTGTGAATACATTCACGTAATTTTACTGAAAGCCATAAAAATTTAAAAACAGACTGAAGAAAAGAAAAACCCAATTTTAAAAATTGGGTAATGGGCTTGAATAGACATTTCTCCAAAT
Source organism: Homo sapiens (assembly GCF_000001405.40). Lineage (NCBI taxonomy): Eukaryota > Metazoa > Chordata > Mammalia > Primates > Hominidae > Homo > Homo sapiens. The sequence continues at coordinate 4,949,251 of NW_011332701.1, read as the reverse complement.
AAGACAAACAAATAGCCAACAGGTGCCAACATCACTAATCATCCAGGGAAATGCAAATCAAAACCACAGTGAGATAGCCCATCATGCCTTTTAGGATGGCTGTTAATAAAAACTAAAACCAAAACCCTACCACATGGAAAATAGCAAGTGTTGACAAGGATGTAGAAAAAATGGAACCAGTTAGCACCATCAGTGGGAATATAAAATGGTGGAGCTGCTATGGAAAACAGTAGGGAGTTTCTTCAAAAAATTAAAAATAGAACTACCATATGATCAGACAATCTCACTTCTGGGTATTTATCCAAAAGAATTGAAACCAGGATCTCAAAGAGACATTTTCCCTCTCATATTCATTGAAACATTGTTCACAATCGCTAAGATTTGGAAACAAATCTAAATGTCTGTCAATAGATGAATAGGTAAAGAAAATGCGTATATGTACTAGGGAATATTATTCAACCATAAAGAAGAAATAAATTCTGTCGTATGCTGCAACATGGGGTCAGCCTTGAAGGTATTATGCTAAGTCAATATAATCCAGTCACAGAAGGGCAAATACTGCATGATTCCACTTAAATAAGTATCTAAAGTAGTCAAACTGAAAGGAACAGAAAGTAGAATGAATGATGCGGGAATGGGGAAATGGAGAATTGAGGATACGGCGTTTCAGTCACGTAAGATGAAGAAGTTCTAGAGATCTGTACAATAATACACATGGCTAACAATACTATACTGTACACTTAAAAATTTAAGAGAACAGATATCATGTTATAGGGGGTTTTTTTTGTTTGTTTTTTACCACAGTAAGGAGTGGCATTATGTCCTCTGTTGGAAGTACCAGTCAAAATTCTAATCAATCTTAGAAGTTTACAAAATAATTTTAAATATTATGTATAAAAATAATTAGACAAAAATTTGACCAGGATTTAAAAATGAAGAGAGAATCATTCATTTATATATTCTAATATATTATAGAGCTATAATAATTAAAAGTGTAGAATGATAGACTAACATCACAAAACTTAAGAACATGAAAAGGAAATCTCAGAAATGGATCTAAATAAATATGTGTCAAGTATGTGATAAAAGAGAAATTTCAAGTAATTGGTAAGAGGAAGAAATTGAATTATCTCCTAGATCTCATACCAGAGACCAGAGCAAAGTTTTAAAGAACAGAAGAGATAAATGTAGAAATAAATGAAAAATAAAATCAATAAGACATGACAAAAGTGTAGGTAAATAGTTTACTGATTTTGAAGTAGCAAAATCCTTTCGAAGTGTTCAGTCTAAGACACAAACCATAAAAGGTGAGAATGATGACTTTCAATGCATAAAACTAAAAAACTTCAATTCCTAATTAAAATTTTAAAATACTGTAGTATCTCAAAAATGACTTAAAACTAAATTCAAAATAATGTACTGGTAAAATGTTTACAACATAATAGACAATGAACTCGAGAATTAACAAGAAAAAAAACTTTCTTCCTTATTTTTAAAAAATGGCAAAATATATCACAGGCAATTTACAAAAGACATATAGAAGACATAAATTGCCAACTAGATATATAGAATTAGCACTGTAAATTGATCAAACCTTTCTCAGGACTGTCATGTATGGTAAATCAATATATTCTCTGTTTAAGGTCTCTAAGTCAAATGGGACTCATATTTAGCCTGCCGTTGATTCACCAAATTATACATCCTATAAAGGGCACACTTTAAAAAATTCACATAAAGATGCCATGTGCTTGTCAAGCTGTTTGCCCATAAAGCTGTTCCTACCTACAGGAACACATTTTCCTAATTTATACATGTATGCTTTATGGGCAAGCAAGGTTGTGTTTTTGTTTTTTTTTTTCCTTCCTCTTTTTGTTTCCCTTTTTTCCCACATTTTTTCATTTTTTCCTTTTTTCTTCATGTCAGACAGGTAATGTGTCCATATCTTAACAAGGTTCAATGGTGGCGCATCTCACACATGCATACGAACACCCAATCCATCACACTCATGAATCTCAGGATCATAAGCAAGGTTTTCAACCTTTCTGTATCAACAGCCCTAGAAATACGTGTAACCTTTTAAGAAATTTCTACCCTAAGAAAACAACTAAGGATTTAATGACTATTTACTTATAATAGCTTATGATAGCAAAATATTGGAAAAATTTTGGTAGGTGTACAATGATGGAGACCAAGGTCAAATAAATTATACTAGAGTCACACACTGGAATAATATACTCTTATGGAGAGTGTATAGGAGAGAATATAGTGGTATTAGAAAATAATTTTGATCTGCTTTTAATTTACAAGCAGTGTTTCAAAATAACATATAGTATAATACCAAATATGTAGTAGATAAATATAAATACACAGAATAACCTGAAAAAAATACATTAAAATGTTTCTGAATATTAGGATTGTAAGCGTTTTTTTTTTTTTAACTGTCTTCTCTCTTTCCATTACTAAACATAATGAACATGTATCACTTTTGTAAACAGGAAAAAAGATGTAGTGAAAAATAACTTAGTCTAATCTTACATGGCCCTTTTTTGAGGTCGTTATTAACATCCTGATCTTTGAAGGAAGGCTTTGAAGCCTGAGAAGTACTTTGTTTGAATCTTTCTCAAGATGCATCTTATTCTGCCTTGTATGTATATATGAGGAATTACCTATTATCTTGGCATTGGTTTTTGAGGTTCAGAATTCATTGTTGTCTCTCTTTTTTTTTTTTTTTAATTGAGATGGAGTCTCGCTCTGTCACCCAGGCTGCAGTGCAGTGGTGCAATCTTGGCTCACTGCAACCTCCGCCACCCAGGTTCAAGCAATTCTCGTGCCTCAGCCTTCCAAGTAGCTGGGACTACAGGTGTGCACCACCACACCTAATTTTTTTTGTATTTTTAGCAGAAACGGGGTTTCACTATGTTGGCCAGGCTGGTCTCGAACTCCTGACCTCAAGTGATCCACCCGCCTTGGCCTCCCAAAGTGCTGAGATTACAGGCATGAGCCACCATACCTGGCCATTGTCTCTTTTTTACTGCCTGTAATACAGGTGTCTGATAAAACTTGCTGAACTGGATATAATGTTAATATTCACAAACGTGTAATAAGTGGCATCTGTAAAGAACTAGATATGAGGAGATGAGAGCTGTTTTCTGGTGGAGTGAGGAAGGCATGTTTAGCTTCAGGAAATTAAGAAGCAGCAGCGGGCACATAAGCACATACCCTAGGTTTTGACAGCAGGTACTAGTGTGGCAGAAGAATTATCCTGAAGAATCTTTGAGGGTGACATTTCTAACCCTAGGTTGGCATGGGCAGATTTATTGGTAGTACCTACCCCAACCAAGTCAAATGCATTGTGTGGGAAGGCTGAAATATGCCTGTGGAATATAGTTGTGGTTGAAAAGAGCTGAACCCAGTGGAATCAACTTCACAGAGGAAAATCTTACAATGAGAACAGTTTCAAACATGGGATGGCCCAGTCTAGGAAAAATAAGCCCACAGTAGTGTGGTGCTCTTCTGGCTTTTACTGTGCAAAATGCATTTCACTCAACAAGAGGGTAGAATTATGTGATTTATGAAACTGGCCCTTTCCTCTAGGAGCCTAAGTGATGACTTTTTTGGTTAGTGGTGATGAGCAATTAGCTAAAGAAAGATGACTCCTGCTCCCTGCTTCCTTATTCTCATGCCTGGTTTTTGGTCCAAGTCTTGGTCTGTGAAATTTAAAGAAACCCATGTAGAGTCATGCCTTTTTAACTCTAATTAAGCAGCTTTCATAAGAGCTGCTACCAGCCTGATACACTCAGCAACATTTCCTTTTTTCTAGCGCGCGCACGAGCGCGCACACACACACACGCAATCAAAACCAGGACTGAATCTGATAAAGTTTTGGAAAATGGAAAGAGATACTATGCCTGAGTTCTTCCAGCATAGATTAGCATGGAGCTTTGTAGTGAGGATCTTAGATGTTGTTCCATCTTGGCACTCAGATGAGAGTACTGCTTCCATTTTAAAGTAGTAAAATAAGTATATGAAGATGGGGGAAAAAAGTACATTGTGTCTGATAAAATGAAGAAAACTACTGTATCCTAGTATCCCTAACAAAGCTAATGGCCTTAAAGAGGAAGGGTCAAGAGGATTCCTGAAACTACAAGAAAACATAGTGATAAATTAGATGTCTCCTGCTAAAGGTACATACATCTCAGAACCATGTTTTACAAGCCCTCTGTAGTAGTGCCCATCAACCAAAAATAAAGCTTATTGATATGCCAGATGTTGTTTACCATACCAAGAACAAGACACAGTTTCTGCCTCTGAGGTGTTTAGAGTCTAGTGGGGAAGATGTACAAGATAACATGGCAATTTAAAAATTAATGGTGATACATAAACTAGAAAACCTAGAAGAGATGGATAAATTGCTGGAAAAATACAATCCTCCTAGCTTAAATCAGGAAGAATTAGATACCGTGAACAGACCAGTAACAAGCAGCAAGAATTAAATGATAATTTTAAAATTACCAACAAAAAAAAAGGTCCAGGACCAGATGGATTTACAGCAGAATTCTACCAGACATTCAAAGGAGAATTGATAACAATCCTTTTGACACTATTCCACAAGATAGAGAAAGAGGGAAGCCTCCCTAATTTATTTTATGAAGCAAGCGTCACCCTAATACCAAAATCAGGAAAGGACATAACCAAAAACGAAAACTACAGACCGATATCCTTGTTGAACATAGATGGTAAAATCCTTAACAAAATACTAGCTAACTGCATCCAACAACATATCAAAAAGATAATCCACCAGGATCAAGTGGGTTTCATACCAGGGATGCAGGGATGGTTTTAACATACGCAAGTTAATAAATGTGATAACACCACATAAACAGAATTAAGAACAGAAATCACATGATCATATCAATAGATGCAGAAAAAGAATTCAACAAAATCCAGCATTCCTTTATGATTAAAACTCTCAGCAAAATTTGCATACAGGGGACATATCTCAATGTAATAAAAGCCATCTATGACAAACCCCCAGCCAACATAATATTGAATGGGGAAAAGTTGAAGGCATTCCCTCTGAGAACTGGAACAAGACAAGGATGCCCACTCTCGCCACTCCTCTTCAACATAGTACTGGAAGTCCTAGCCAGAGCAATCAGACAAGAGAAAGAAAGGAAGGGCATCCAAATCAGTAAAGAGGAGTTCAAACTGTCACTGTTTGCTGATGATATGATTGTTTACCTTGAAAACCCTAAAGACTCCTCCAGAAAGCGCCTATAACTGATAAAATAATTAGCAAAGTTTCAGGATACAAGATTAATGTACACAAATTAGTAGCTCTTCTGTACACCGACAGTGACCAAGCAGAGAATCAAATCAAGAACTCAACCTCTTTTACAATAGCTGCAAATATATACATATATATATATGTGTGTATAGTAATATACCTAAGGAGTCAAAAGACCTCCACAAGGAAAACTACAAAATATTGCTGAAAGAAACCGTAGACAACACAAACAAATGGAAACCTATCCCATGCTCATGGATGGGTAGTATCAATATTGTGAAAAGGTAGAATTAATATTGTGAAAATGACCATACTGCCCAAAGCAATCTACAAATTCAGTGCAGTCTCCATCAAAATACCACCATCATTCTTAACAGAATTAGAAAAAAACAACTCTAGGCTGGACACGGTGGCTCACGCCTGTAATCCCAGTTGGAATGCCGAGGCAGATCAAGAGGTCAGGCGATTGAGACCATCCTGGCTAACATGGTGAAACCCCGTCTCTACTAAAAATAAATTAGCTGGGCGTGGTGGCGGGTGCCTGTGGTCCCAGCTGCTTGGGAGGCTGAGGCAGGAGAATGGCGTGAACCCGGGAGGTAGAGCCTGCAATGAGCCAACATCGCATCACTGCACTCCAGCCTGGGCGACAGAGCGAGACTCCGTCTCAAGAAAAAGAACTCTAAAACTCATACGGAACCATAAAAGAACCCACGTGGCGGGAGCCAAGACTAAGCAGAAGAGAAATTTGGAGGCATCACACTACCTGATTTCAAACTATACTATAAGGCCATAGTCAGTCACCAAAACAACGTGGTACTGGTATAAAAATAGGCACATAGACCAATGGAACAGAACAGAAAACCCAGAAATAAACCCAAATACTTACAGCCAACTGATCTTCAACAAAGCAAACAAAAATATAAAGTGGGAAAAGGACACCCTTTTCAACAAATGGTGCTGGGATAATTGGCTAGCCACATGTAGGAGAATGAAACTGGATCCTCATCTCTCACCTTACACAAAAATCAACTCAATGGATTAAGGACTTAAATCTAAGACTTCAAACTATAAAAATTCTAGAAGATAACATTGGAAAAACCCTTCTAGATGTTGGCTTAGGCAAGGATTTCATGACCAAGAACCCACAAGCAAATGCAATAAAAACAAAGATAAGTAGTTGGGACTTAGTTAAACCAAAGAGCTTTGGTACCTCAAAAGGGGCAACCTAAGAGTAGAAGAAAATCTTTACAATCTATACATCTGACAAAGGACTAGTATCCAGAATCTACAGTGAACTCAAATCAGTAAGAAAAGAACAATCTCATCAAAAAGTCGGCGAAGTACATGAATGGACAGTTCCCAAAAGAAGATATACAAATGGCCAACAAACATGAAAAAATGCTCAACATCACTAATGATCAGGGAAATGCAAATCAAAACCACAATGCGATACTGCCTTATTCCTGCAAGAATGGCCATAATCAAAAAATCAGAAAACAGATGTTGGCATGGATGCCATGATCAGGGAACAGTTCTACACTGCAGGTGGGAATGTAAACTTGTACAGTCAGTATGGAAAACAGTGTGGAGACTCCTTAAAGAACTGAAAGTAGAGCTGTCATTTGATCTAGCAATCCCACTACTGGGTATCTATCCAGAGGAAAAGAAGTCATTATATGAAAAAGATACTTGCACGTGCATGTTTATAGCAGCACAGTTCACAATTGCAAAATCATGGAACCAACCCAAATGCCCATCAGTCAAAGAGTGATTAAAGAAACTGATATATATATATACAATCGAATACTACTCAGCCATAAAAAGGAATGAATTAACAGCATTTTCGGCGACCCGGATGAGATTGGAGAATATTATTCTAAGTGGAGTAACTCAGGAATGGAAAACCAAACATCGTATGTTCTCACTGATATGTGGTAGCTAAGCTATGAGGATGCAAAGGCATAGGAATGATACAATGGACTGTGGGAACTTGGGGATAAGAGTGGGAGGGGGATGAGGGATAAAATACTACAAAGAGGGTGCAGTGTATATTTCTTGGGCGATAGGGGAACCAAAATTTCACAAATCACCACTAAAGAACTTACTCATGTAACCAAATACCACCTCTACCCCAATAACTTATGGGAAAAAAATTAATGGTGATAAATGCTGTGATAATGTAAGCGTCATAGGCCTTTGGAGAACAGGGGAGAAACACCCACGTGCTGGAGGTTAGGGGAAATCTTTAAGGAAGGACGTTTGTTTTAAGACTTAAAGGATGAGTATGAACAAGGAAGTGTAAGGAGGCACTAGGGAAGGGTCGGAAAGGGACCATTTTATAGACAAAGGCCTAGAAGCAAGAGATTGTGGTCTGTTATTTCATGAAGGTCTAGAGGGAGTTGGAGATAGGGGGAAGGTAAAAATGAGGCCAGAGATGTAGACAGAGGCCAGATCATAAAGTGCCTTGTAAAGCAGTTTTAGAGTTTGGAATTAGTCCTAATGGCAGTAGGGAAGATGGAATGTGAAGGAAAGCTGGCAAAGTAGCCTGTGCAGAGAGAGGAATAATTGAAGACGGCCTAAGACATGCAAGATACAAAGCTTACGTTAAACAACTCAGGGAGAAAGCTAGCTAGACTGGAAAAGATATTTGAGGCTCATGTGCCTGAAGCTTTTGTCCTTCAAGATGTTTCTCAGCTGAGAATTCTCCATTAGCTATAGCAGTGGAGCTTGTTAAAACTATACTTCACCCTGCCCTCGGTCTCCTAAGATAAGCCAGACAACATTTGCAAAAGCTTTTCAAATATATGAAGAATTTTGGGGAAGCCAAGGCTGGAGGATCGCTTGAGCCCAGGAGTTAGAGACCAGCCTAGGCAACATGGTGAGACCCCCGTCTCTACAAAAAATTAAAAATTAGCTGGGTATGGTGGCACGTACCTGTGGTCCCAGCTAATAGGCTGAACTAGAAGGATCGCTTGGACCTGGAAGGTCAAGGCTGCAGTGAACCGTGATTGTGTCAGTGCACTCAAGCCTGGGTGACAAAGCAAGGCCCTATCTCCAAAAAAAAAAAAAAAAAACCTGTGTATATGTGTAGATACACCCATATACAAAGAATCTGATCATGCATGCACACAGAAGAGCTTTAAGCCACAGAGAAAGGTGAGGAAAGGTGATGGGAGGGTGATTGTATCTTCCATTGCAGTGCCTTCTTATCCAGCACCTTCTGATTCACACCCATTGGTATGCCCCAAAGATGACTTGTCTAATTGCTAGCATGTGTAAATCAAATGGGGACTTCAAATGTAAGTACTTTCATGTGTTCCCCTCTTCCATTTTTCATGGGAGTGGAGTGTCCAAGATCAGGACGACCTGACAATTTTCTCTTTGATTCATGAGGCAAAATAGAACCTGGCCCATGCCATAGCCGACCTCATTGCCAATAAGTCCAAAAAGAGATTGTGAAAGACAAGAAAGCACTTCAAAGTCACAAGTCCAAATTTAGGAATAGCAGAGGAGCATTGCTATGATTCTTACTCAGACATCCAATAAAAAAGCTTTTTTTTTTCTCATTGATGCTTTGGAATTTCAACTGAAAGTGACAATTGGGAAGTATAATGTACTTTTGTTTACCATATCTCTTAGGAAGCTGGAACAGAAAAGAGTGTTTTCCCCTTGCCGGAACCACAGGATTTCTTTCTGGCCTCCCAAGTCAAGTTTGAAGACCTCATAAAAGATTTGAGAAAACTGAAGAGGCAACTAGAAGGTAATAGGAACTGTTCTGCTATTATGATAATAGCTAAGATTACTTTTAAAAAATGTTTTAAGAGGATTATTTAGGTCTGGTTCATAGAGTGGGATTGGTGCAGAGTTCAGCAATGGTACACTACAGCTTTCAGGAAACTTTCCTTCTCTACACAGTGTGTAGAGGCACTGTATTTTCAAATTCTTCTCTTTTATTAGTGTTGATCATTTGTTTCTTATATCCATATCTCGTTATATCTACATTTTCTAACATTTAGTAGTTATAACATTATTAATGATAATAGCAGTAACCATTTACTAGATGCTTACTGTTGTCTCATATAACAATCTTAATAAGCTGGAACTACACTAAACCCATTTTACAGATGAGAAAAATGAGGCTTAGAGAAGTTAAGTTCACACAGCCAGTAATAGACAGATTTACTGAGCTCTAATCAAGTCTAATCAAGTCTGTCTAATTAGAACTCACATTTTCTAGTTTCTAGTTTCTAGAACTTACACATTAGCTAGTTTACTCTGCTGCTTTAAATATATATGTATATCATACATATCGTACACATACACACATGTTCCTGTATGTTTGGTTTATATATGAGTCTAATAATGATGGTAAGGCCCACAGTAAACATTCCATTTTAGTTTAATTTACATTTTTAATTAGTCAAAAGAAAATGCTGAAAGCCCCTTTTTGGCTTTTTTAAAAGGTGAAAATATGTCTCACTTGGGCAGGAATTTTCCTTTGGCATTTCTAGAGTCTCGTGTTTTTACTGTGGAGACATCTCCTTGTCCAAGAATATAAATACTTGCCTTGGAGCTTGTATAACTCCAATTGAAGAGCTCTGCGGAGGATTTAGAGAGCGTGTTAATGTGGAAATGGAGCCCAGAGTGCCAGAAGCAGAGCTTGAGGAAATGAAGGGCTTCAACCAGGAATATTTTAAGACCAAGACATAAAGTAAACATTTTTAAAATGTTTATTGTGAAAGAGTACTCAGAAACCTAAGTCTGAGGCTGAGAACAGCTTGGAAATGGAAGTAAAGTGGGAAAGATCTGCTCCCGGTGGCAAAGAGAGCCATTTATTTTTACTTTGGGCATAAAACTTACATGGAAAGGATAATGGTTACAGGTGAATATTTTTATCTTGTATATTATTTTTAAAGGAACGTGGGTTTTTTTTCTCCCATTGATGTGGTTGAATGAATTCAAACAAATGGATGCTTCCTTTAGAAATGCGATATGTGAACTTGCGGTCGTTATTTTCTGTCTCCTGAAGAATTGGCGGTTGTATCCTTGTTGAAGTTGAGGAGCTTGATTAATATTGTAATAAAGCGTAGTAAGCTACCAGCTAGCATTTTTGTCTGTCCCTCTCCACTGGTAGAATTAGGGCCCAGGCTGGTCCTCAGTGTGGCAGCAAGAGTTAGCAATGGCAGGGGAGCTTGTTTGCTCCACGGCTGTTCCTGAATGCCCATTCCCTCTTGTCTCTTGGCCCCTTGTGAAACCCTTGGCCTGACCTCTCCTATAGTCTTTGAGCCGAAACCTGATCCCTGTTTGATCTTTTCCCTTCTCCTTCCAGGGGCTGCCTCACTTTGACGTCCCTGTACGTTTGATGATAAATAGCAAGAGGATAAGAGGAGTGAACTGGGAGGCGAGCAGAGAGACAAGGGTTCCCCCATAGCGCCTCACTTTGGTACACCTTCTTTTGTCTAGGGAGGCTCTGAATTGTCGTTCCGGATCTCTCAGTACTCAACTGACACTTTCCTCAGCCGATTTTAGGAAAATACAAGAGCTTTTGAAGCAGGTAGAGCGGCCTTAGGAAAGAAAACTGAACATTGTCTCAGTTACTTTTCTTCTTTGTACCAGGCTTCACCAAAACACATGAAGTACCACAAAGGCAAATGAGGAAATGACTCCCCCCACCTCACACACATGGAATATTTAAACAAAAATGCCCTGCTAATCTTTAGAGATGCCAGTGTTTTCAACACATGAAAGGTACCCAGTAAATATTTAAAGAAAATACACACCGTAGGTTCTCTAATGAATTTCTTTTTCTTCTAAATACCATCTGGCAAGATGGCCAGAATCGTGGCGGTCCGTTTCATCTTAACGTTTCCATTCAGGTTTCACCTCCTTTTCCATAAGGCCTTGGTGTGAGCTGAGATTGAATGTTTAATTGAAGAGGACATAATTTTCACACATACAGCAAAGATTTGATGAGGCTTTGAGGTTTATTGTAGCCATTAAAGTGTCGTAGCTGCTGGCAAAATCCCAGAAAATGTCTAAAGCTAAACCAGATGTGATTAGCAAATTTCAAGAAGTATCAGGCCCTAGATCTCCAGGCAGGCAGAGTCTTTTAAAAAAAAAAAAAAATAGTATTAACACACCTTAACCTAATGTGAATTAACCTATGGTTATTGGTCATACTAATGTCACTGATTTAAGTAGAAGTTGTCATTAAGCATCTTTCAGAGAGGCAAGAACTTTGAATGGCATTTTTATGCAGGTAAACGTAGCATGGAATTGATAATAGTATCAACTGCAACTTATTGTGTCATTATTATCTATCAAGTGCTTTATCTATATCACCTCTTTTAATTCTGCAGTGACCTTGTGAGGCAGATACTATTTTTGACTTCTCACAAGATAAGAAAGCTGAAGTTTGTGGTGCTCAAGTAATTTGCCAGTGTTTCAGAGGTGATGATCTAGTCAAGTTTTGAAACTAGATACGACTTCTAAGGCATGTGTTCAATACATATCACGCCTGTGACCCAGAAGTCACCACATCTGATTGGAGATCAGACAGAAAGTTTTGGCATTCAAAATGTGAAGCCTCATGAAGAAAAAAATTAGAGTTACTGAACATATATACACAAGCATGCACACGTGTGCACACACTCCCAAAACCACACATGTAGACTGTCAGATCAGATAGAGTCACAGGAAGGAACTTGCTTTGGGTTGGAATTGGAAAGGGGAAGAAGTCCAGGTAGATGGATTGTCAAATAGACATACAAATAGGCACATTACATAGGACTAAGATCAGGCTTTGAGTTCAGATGTGTATGTTTTACTGGTTCAGTGAAAGTAACAGCTTGTCAAGTAGCATAATCGTAGAAAGTATTCACTTTCTCACCTGTAAAATGGGACAGTTATAGGACCTGCATCATAGGAAATAATGTCTGCACAGTTTCTTAGTGAGGGCAGCTTCAATAAAGCTGATTAAGGGCATGTACCTTTCACTGGAAAGTGCACAGCCTGTATAATCAGCCGGTGTTGCTGAGAGGCCAGCTGGCTATGTTTGTGGAGTATCTAATTCACAGAGCACTTGTGCTTGCTTCTCTACATTGTAAAGAGAGAACCAAGTTCTTGGTGCTTGGGAACATGTTCCATATTTTGTTTATTGTTCTACATCCCTTAACAAGACAATAATTTCAATTTCCCTGATACTGTGAAGTTGTAAGCAATAATTGAGAAAACACAAACAATGGCAATAGTTACTTTCATTCTCCCTCTTTGTCCTTGCTGGCTGGAACTCTCAGGGTGTTCTTACCCACCCATATGTGGTAGGCAGAATAATGCCCCCCAAGGATGTCCAAACCCTAATCCCTAGAATCTGTGAACATGTTGCCTTACATGGCAAAAAGGGACTTTGCTGATGTTGACATGGGGAGATTATCCTGGACCGTCCAAGTGGGCCTAATCTAATCACATGAATCTTTAAAGTCAGTCTTTAAACGCTGAGGACTTTCCCTGGCTATGATCAGAGGGAGATATAACGACGTAAGAATGATCAGAGAGATGTAATGTCGCTGGCTTTGAAGATGGAGGAAGTGGGCCGTGAGCCAAGGAATGTGGGAAGCCTCTAGAAGTGGAAAAGGCAAGGAACAGATTCTCCCTAGAGCCTCTAAAAGGGAGTACAGCCCTGTCAGCACCTTGAGTTTAGCCTGTGAGTCCCATGTCAGACTTCTAACATATAGAACTAAAAGGTGATATATTTCTGGTGTTTTAAGCCTCCTAAGTTTGTGCTAATTTATTATAGTAGCAATCAGAAACTAATACACCAAGGAGTGGACTCTTCTTTCTGATTGCACCAGTTAATACCAGAGACAGACACACACACATACACAAACACACACATGCGCGTGCAGCATTGCTGAAACTATAGATGTAGGATTCGTCAAATAGTAGCACCTAAAAATATTACCTGAAATGTGAACTGGAACTGTTGTTCTCTGAAAGAGTCTATGATCAAATAAACCTGGACATGCTCTGTACGAAAATCATATCCTAGGGATTCAAAGCACATGAGCTTATTAAAGCCTCTGGGAAGTTCTGTAGTTAAAAAAAAGTTTAATGCTGTTTAAAACAGCATTTCCTAACTTAAAGCATGAAACATTGGCTTGCTTTCTTTTCCCTTTCATTGTCTACTTAGTAATATTTTTACAGAGCATAAGTTGTGTAAAAGGTACTTTAAGAAGAAAGGATATTGATTGTACTAGCAACACGGTTGTTGGTGAAATGATATTACTGGGTCCTGCCTGCAGGAGTCAGGATCTCTAGTAACGTAGGGGAGGGCAGGTCTGACTTAGCAGAAACAAGGCCACATGTCATTACTTACCGCTTGATCTCATTCTTTTTTTTTTTTTTTTTTTTTTTTTTTTTTTTTGAGATAGGTTCTTGCTCTATTGCCCAGGCTTGAGAGTAACAGCACAATCATGGCTCACTGAAACCTCAATATTCTGAGCTCCAGCAATCCTCCTACCTCAGCCTCCTAAGCAGCTGGGACTACAGATGTATACCACCACGCCCAGCTAATTTTGTAAATTGTATTTTTTGTACAGACAGGGTCTCACTGTGTTGCCTAGGCTAGTCTCAAATTTCCTGGGCTCAAGCGATCCTCCGGCCTTGGCCTCCCATAGTGCCAGGATTACAGGCATGAGCCACCACTGGACCTGATCTTACCCTTGATCAGTTTTGTTTTCATTTTCATTTGGGGTTATGTGTGATGTCCTTTTCTCTTCCTATTACTGCAGTTGATCAAGAGTTGACTATGAGTAGGAGGGAGGAATGCTAAGAACTGGTTGCTAATCTAATGGATATTCAACTTTGTGTTACTGTGGGAGGGGAAACGGTTCCTCTGTCCCTGCTCTTCAGCAGCTTTTAATGCAAGTTTGCCTCGTCACCATCCTCTTTGATTCTGGCTTCTTACAGCCATGCTGGCTCTTGTTCTGTCAGGAATCAATGTATCTGTCCACTCCGATGAAAGTGTGGCCCTTGCCTGAGTCAGTCAGTGCTATTGGGCCCCAAAGAGAATTTAAGAAAGTGTTTCCTGTTGATATTATCTTAGGAAGCAAAATGGTTCTTCCTTACTCTTAGGGTTGTCAAATTTATTAAATAAAATTCAGGAGGCCCAATACTTTTCTTTCAGGGTTTTTTTTTAAATGTAAGTGTATCTCAAATATTGCATGGTACACACTTACACTAAAAAATTTTTTCTTATCTGAAATTCTAATTTAACTTGGTGTACTGTTTTTTATCTGGCATGTCTGTAGAGAATCTAAAAGCAATAATAAAGTCAACTAGAAGTCAGTTCGTTTTTTATTATCATTATGCACTAGCAATTCTAAACAATGGCAGCAATAAAATTCTCCTCCCTACCAGTGTAGACAGTGGACAAAGGGTCTATAAATGTGGTTAAGGGTGTGGCGTGTGTCCATTTCCACCATCACTAATGACAACACTTACCATTTAATGAGCACTTAATACCAGCAAATTTGCTTACATCATTTCTATTTCTTAAAACTCCTTCAAAGTAAGTGTTATTACCTGTGTTGTTACAGTAAGGAAGTGGAAGTTACTTTGCTACTACTGGCAAAGCTGAAATTTGAAACAGGTTTATCTGTGCCGTACTTTGTTCCTTTACAGTTTGCAGGCTCACCCTAAAAGCACAAAAAATGTGATCCAGAATGATAAAGTTTGAAGAATAAGCCCCACTTCGTTCTGTGGCTCATCTTCTAAAGGGACTACAGATAAAAATTGGATTGAATTCAGGCTTTCTCTTGTCTCTACATACAACCACTCAACCAGTCTGCCTATTGTAGTCTCTCTCCTTCCACCTCCTGCCTGTCAATATTTTTCAGTTTCTCTGACTCCCTCTCTGTCTCTCTGACATTGACCTAGCCTCTGTTTTATTCCTTCGTGACCCAAAAGAAAGCATACTAGTCTGATGTGGCTAACTGAACTAATAGCAGAGGACTAAAGGGCCATCCCTGGGCAACCTGCAAGGTTTTGTTATCTCTTCCATGTGTGGAAGTTAGATGTATTGGGCTCCTGATGTAGATGAGAAGGTAAGGGAATTTTCCAGAACTTGTCAAGTCACATAAGAGGGTGAGCTATGCTTCCTGTGCTCAAGACCAGCCCTGACCCTGCAAAACGAATGACCTCTGCCACCTGGTGTCTTCAAGTGGCTTTCCCTCCATGAGAGTTTAAATGCTTCTTGTAAGAGGAAAAAAGACAAAAATTAGATCTTGTCATGAGGGTGAAAATTTTCTTTAATTACTAATTAAAACATGGCCCATAAACAACAATATGGTTCTAGTAAGGGGGAAAAGTCACTTTGGAAACCTTTTGGAGGACTTTGGTGGAAACGTCATTGATTGAACACTCATCAAGGACTGAACACTCATGGAATTTCAGTTCCTTTTGAAAATTTCTAGAACGATAGTAGAATTCTTTAAAAGCATCAATTTTAAAGCATAGAGAGAACCACAAAATTTTGGAAACTCAAAAACAGATGTATACATGATAAATGAATTAATCAAACAAGAAAGCTGAATTCTAATCCAGGAGTGATAGGAGGTGAGAAGCAATCCAACTTTTACTATAAGACTTACATGTACCACAAGTTTGTGCATATTTATACAAACATGCAGAAAGTCATACATATTTGTACATAAATTAATACAGTCATTTAAAATGTCTAAAAATGTTGGATGAGTTCCTAATTTTAAAAGGCCTAAAAAGTTTTAATGTTTTAATAATAGTATAAATCTGTTTTACTCCCCCGTATTTGATTAATATACAAAATATACAAAAAATATGCAAAAACAAAAAACCCCACAATGAAATGAAGCTTTGTGAATGGCAGTTAAGTTTCAATGGCATAGGCTGGGGTGTTGACAATAGCACTGAACTAGGATTTAGGAGACAAAAGTTTAAAGTTAATTCTGCCACTTACCATGTGATATTTGACTAATATGGGGGAAGTAAAACAGATTTATACTATTACTAGAACATTTCAGAATACTTAGGACAAAAAGAAAAGCTCACCCCCTTCTAGGAGTAGGTGGGATGTGGGGATGGATTACACACACAGTCAGGAAACAGAATGACTTCAGACTTTTCAGTAGCATTACTAAAAGCTACAAATGCATCAGGATTCTGAAGAAAAATTATTCCCAGTCCAGAACCTTATATCCACCAAACTATTAGTCAAATATGAGGACAGATTAAAAACATTTTGAGACATGCAATTTCTCAAAATACTTATCTCCCATACAGTTATCTTCAGGATGCTACTAAAGAAAGTGCTGTCCCATTAAAGAGGAAGACATAGGTCACAGGAAATAAAAATTCAGTGGAGAAGGAAGGTGAATGGAGCCTCCAGCACAGAGAAAAAGCCCAGGATGGCAGCCAGACATTGAAAGAAAACATTTCAGATTTGATTAAGTCAAAAGCATCATGGAGAAGGTTCTTAAGGAATACACAATTAATACATCTAATATATCTGAACGTTTGGACAAGAGATTTTATACAACTAGTAACAAGTGTGAGGTTCATTTAACGTTAAGCTCATAGAAAACAAACTAAATCAGAAAAAAAAATTCTGAGAGCAAGTGTGAGAGAAAGAGGAAATGTGCGGGAAATGTGGAATAATCAGAGTTTCCATATATCAGCTGGGACTGCGAGTTGTTTTTGCAAAGTCATAATAATGTCAACACCAAACGCTAGTCTAACCAAGTCATGGTACCGTGTGCTATATTGGGGTGATGGAAGTGAAGAGGCGGGAGTGAAGGAAAGAACTACATCATTTATAGTTGATAAAGAGAAAAATAAAAAAAAAACAATAGAAGCTTGTTAGAGACATACTACTAAGCACCAAATAATCACATAAAATTGGTAAAAGAGGTAGCCTCTGAGGAGGAAGAATTGAGGAAATGGTGGGGTGGAGATGGGGGACTGCTGTTCTTAAAGTGCATAGAATGTACTGATTCTTTAAACTGCGTGCACGTATAACTTTGACAAATACATAAAAACAAAAAATCCCACAATGAAACAAAGCATTTGTGAATTTGTTAAGTTTCAATGACAGAGGCTGGTGTGTTGAAAATAGTACTGAACTGAGATTTAGGAGATGTAAGTTTAAAGTTAATTCTGCCTCTTATCACATGATAAACCATGCACTTTGCCACATCACTTAGCCTCTGTGACTCTCAACTGAAAAAAAAAATGGAGCCGATCATACTTCTGGATTCTGCCCAACACAAAGGGATATTGAAAGGGTCAGATGAGGCGATGCCTGAGGAAGTACCTCAGGAGGTGTGAGGTAGTACTTAAATTCCTGAGAGGCCTTGCAGTCTGCACTTTACTCAATGGATGCTGGTGTGTTCTAGAAGGGAGAGCAGGGTATTGATCATTAGGACAGGTCTGGCTAATTTATCACCTTTTGGGAAGCTCCAGAAGACATGACTTGAATGATTATTGACCATGTCTAATTTATTAGCTCTTTCCTCCTTCACAGCCCATTTGTCCACAGCAGTAGTTTACTAAGTCTGAGCTCTGGTACGAGACTGGATACATTAGCCAGAGTCCTGACCATGTTGCCATGGTGTTAAAAATATTTAGTTTTGCAAGCAAAGTTTTAGAAATAATAAAAAAAACTTTGATATGATTTATTTTTGTAAAATGATTTCAACAAAACAGACCTAAGGAACTGGGATAAGTATTTCAGAAAAGCAGTGGGTGTAAAATGTGGATCGGCATGGTGACTTTTGATGCAAAGCATTCAATTAATTGAGCATGGTGACTAAAGGTCACACATTTCCCAAATGAAATGCCTTCAAAGACAAGTTGTACAGAAAGGAGAGAGGAAACTGAAACTTGATTCATCCGTTTAATTAATGGAAGAAGTTTGTGTTTTCCTTTGAAGCTGTGATTGTGACATTTCTAGGTGGGAAGGATGAGTTATGTTGTCCTGGTTTCCTCCTCTCAGTTTGCACCCTCTATTTCTACCCTCTATTTTATAAAAACACGTGGTTAATAGAATGTGTTTTGTTGAGTTTTTTTCTTTGACAAGAAACATAAAATATTGAAATAAAAGCTGCAATCATAGAAAAGTCTGGGTCAGAAGTCCTGAATTCAAATCCTTGCTTCACAAGCTTTGTAACCCTTGGCAAATCATTTCATCCCTGACATTTCAGTATCCTCATATAAAAATGAGTGTAAGGCTACCTGCTCCACTGATTGTTTAAGAGGATTTACTGGGATCCCACAAAGGAAATCCCTTTTCATAGCATATGCCAAATGTGTCATACTTTTCCTTGATTCCTTTTGTGCTCTCATGTCTGACAGCTAGTCCTGTTGACTCTTAACTTCAAAAAGTGTCTGGAATCAATTCATTGCTCTCCATCTCCACACCTACTGCTTTTGTAATCCAAGCTACCACCTTCTCACCTGGCCCATATCAAGCAGGTTTCTCTGCTTCCACTCTTGGTCTTCCTTTGTCTCCACCTGCCGCATAGGTCACAGCACTCTGTTATTTCATCTTCATTCCTCTTGGAATCAAATCCAACCTCATACTCATGCCGTACAAACTGATTTAACCACTTCTGCCTTTCCAGTCTTCTCTCACACCACTCACCCCTCCTGCCCACTAAACTCCAGCCACACGGGCCTTCTTTGTGTTCCAACACGATGTACTTGTTCCTGCTCTAGGATCATTGCAGTAGTGGGTCCCTCTCCTAGAAAGCCCTTCTGCCAGATAGGCCCATGCTCTGAGCCTTCCTTGCCCACCCACTCTTCAGGAGGCACTTTGAATAGGCACTGTCTATTACAGCCTTCGTTTTTCATATTACTTTCACATATTCATATTTCATATTATTTTCTATTTATTTGTTTGTAAATTTTCTCTTCCTCCACCAGCTTCATGAAGGCAGATATATGACCTTTTTTATGTTTATATTTACTGTGCTGGTCAGCACTTTCCACGTATTTGTTGTCAATATTTGGTAAATGGGTGAATGAATGAGCAAATGAACAATGGAAGAAATGACTCAACTTCAGATAATCGCTGACTCTGCTATTAGTGAGAAATTAGATCACTTCCTTATGGCCAAAGATGTCAGATAAGCATCCGTGAGTAGAATCTTTTAGAGGGACAGATTTTAAAGCTGTCTGAAGAGAAAACTGATGGCCTTGAGCAGTAGTGGGTTCCTCACCCACTGCTTGCTGGAAGATTGTATTATGTGGGTGGGTAGAGGAGGTACCATTAGACAAGTAGTTTGCTAGATGATTTTGAAGGTATATTCCAACTCCTGAATTTCTGAGATGATTATTCTTACTATGCTATTTCAGTGCATTCTATAATTCTCCTTGTTCATGAAGGGTTACTGTATTGAATTCCTCCCTAGACTGACTTAATTAGAACAACTGAAAAATCCTAGGAATTCTGACCATTTGCAAGACTTTTTTTTAAAAAGTCAACTTTCAAATTATATCAGGCTTGCATCTCAGGTATTCTCTTTGTAAATGACTCTGAACAATCTCTTGAATTAATTCATGCCTCAAAAATTCTTGTGTTGATACCATCTATCCTTTTTTTTTTTTTTTTCCTGAGACAGCATATTGTTCTGCCACCCAGGCTGGAGTGCAGTGGCGCAATCTCGGCTCACTGCAACTTCCGCCTCCCGGGTTCAAGCGATTCTCCTGCCTCAGCCTGCAAAGTAGCTGGGACTACAGGCACCCGCCAGCATGCCCAGCTAATTTTTTGTATTTTTAGTAGATACTGGTTTTCATCATATTGGCCAAGCTGGTTTCAGACTCCTGACTTCAGGTGATCCACCTGCCTTGGCATCCCAAAGTGCTGGGATTACAGGCGTGAGCCACCATGCCCAGCTGATACCATCTGTCTTTATAGAGCAGAGCGCTTATCCAGTGTGGTAGGTTAATGGAAAAAAAATTGGCCAAAATTGGGAATCATGGAAAATGACACTTGTATCCCTTAACACTTTAACTTACAACAAATTAAATGTTGTATCCTTTGTCTGTATTCTGATGCAGGGATGAAGCTTTTACTTGAATTATGAATCTGTCGAATGCAGTCCTATAGGTCTTCCCTACATACTCCATAATGACAGCATCTGTAATTTCCCTACTGTATTTTTAAAGTTCAGTAAAGACTCTTGCAAATATCACCATAGAATCTTTCTAGATATTTATAATTGTTCTCAATCTTTTAAAACTGTGTTTCCCACACTTTTTAAACAATACACTTTAATTTTTATTTTGGAATAATTTTTAAATTGCAGAAAAGTTGCAAAGAGTAGAGAGTTCTCATATAGCTCTTGTCAGTTACTTTCCCCATTCTTGGCATCTCACACTGCTGTGATCCATTTGTTAAAACTGAGAAACTGGCAATGATACATTTAGATTGACTGAATGCTAGTTTTTATATGGATTTCACTGGTTTTTCCATTTTTGTCCCCTTTCTGTTCCAGGACCTAATCCTGACTACCACATTGCATTTAGTTGCCATGTTTCCCCAGTTTCCCCTGGCCTTCTATACCTACATTTAACAGCAATATTTTAGCTTCTTTCATTAAAACTTATAGAAATAGTACCTTTTGACAGTCATATATCTGGTTTACCATCAAGTCATTAAATTACATAATTTCAATAAAAAGAACAACAGGAATAAACAGGTTTAGAAACAACACAAGTGCTTTTGATCAGGATTCTGCTCAATAGCTGGAAGACTGAATCAAGTATGAGGACTGGAAAATAGCATTAATTTGGCAAGTTCATTAACAAAGTATCCTTGATATTTCCTGTTTTTTTGGTTTTTTAAAGGTACTCTTGTAATTATAATGGTGATACTTTACCTGCCTATGGTGCTTCATCCTCCCAAGTGAGTAGGGCAGGCATATGCAGCTTGGAAAACAGAGTCTTCGAGATAGGAAGCACCATGGCCGGGATCACCCAGCCAGGCACAGAACTCAGGTCCTTGACTGCCAAGCCAGCGCCCAAGATACCATACCATGAGCTTGTATTGGGTCAAAATATTTTCTTCACAGAAATAGAGTAGTGGATAGTTTTGTGAATATCAAAATACTTTTTCTGCCTAAGTAAGTTGTATATCTTTGACTCTGTGGAAGATTCACAATCCACAGAGTGATTCTTCTCATGTCAGTCAACCAAATGAGTGAAGTTAGAGGGAGACCTCCTTAGCCCCTGCAAAGGGGACTGGAGTTTTTGCCAATATCCTTATCTCTCCTAGATTCTTTCCCAGATAGCTCAACCTCAGCGTGGCTCCTAGGTGGATAGGGGCCATGAACTGTGACTCTACCTTTTAATACTCCTGGAAAGATCACAGACCTACCAGGAAATTGACAGCCCTGGTTCCAGTCTCTGCCATGCCACTTACTAACCTAACCACCTGGTAGGCCTTTTCCCCATTTGAAATGACAGGATCCCAGTGGTGGCACTTGGTGATTTTTTTAGCTTTTATTAATTCCTTACAGTTGACAAAGCATTCACATAGGTGTCCCATAGTTTTTTCTAGAACTTTCCTGTAGATGGTGAAAGTAGGAGGCGGCATATCATAAGGGCAGGGGGTCTGTTACCCCTGGATTCAGATCCTGACTCAGCTACTTACTGTCTGTGTGACTTTACTAATACTCACCAAAAAGGGGACAATAGCAGGAAAACTTTCATAGGGTAAGATGAGATAACACATAAAGCAGGCTGAGGGCTAAGACACCCTTGGCCATTTAAGGGCCATTTGCTTTTGATTATACAGTTTGAAAATTTGTTGTTGTTTTCAAGGAATTACTGAGTGAGAGATAAATGGCAATATGTCCAAGTCAGCATGGAGGACCAGGACCCGCTGGACCAGAAACTTTTCCTCTGCCATAGTAAACAGAAAGGGGAAATGCCCAAGGAACATTTATAATGGCTAATGTACTAACAGTGCTAATTTGGTTGTGTTTTTAAACCTTTTCTGGACCATTTTGATGGTCTTTAAAAAGTGTCATCAAATCTCCAGGTATCAAAGAAAAAAAATCTACAGAATACGAGACAGCTCTTGTTTGACCTTTTCAATCAGTTAATTTGTTCAGCAAATATTTATTCTTAGCACTGAGTTCACTGCGAATTTTAAATAAACTCACTGAAAGATCAAGTCCTTTATAAACACATTTTAAGGCTAAGTTTTATCCCCATTTTCTAGGGGAGAGATTTATTCCTACTTCTGATTTCTCTTCTGCTCAGGAACAGGAATCTGACTGTACCTGAGAACAGAGATAATACTTGTCAGTCTGTTAGAGGGTAAACAGAGGGAAGGTATATAGAATTTTCCCTCCAGCTGTTCTGAAGATTCATAAAAACATCTGCAAAGCCCTTCCTGACTGTGATCCTGAAGAGAATCAACTAATACTTGCCACCTTGGTTTCAAGGCATTATATACCTTGGAATTACAAACATCTAATTTTTTTTTCAATCCATGACATACCTTTTCCTAACTCCACCAAATCCCAAAGTTGAGTGTTTAAGCTGGGCTTGATATTCGCTATATATAGCTAATATAGGCCGGGCTTGGTGGCTCACACCTGTAATCCCAGCACTTTGGGAGGCCGAGGCAGGCAGATCACGAGGTCAGGAGTTTGAGACCAGCCTGACCAACATAGCGAAATCCCGTCTCTACTAAAAGTACAAAAAATTAGCTGGGCATGGTGGCAGGCACCTGTAATCCAAGCTACTCAGGAGGCTAAGGCAGGAGAATCGCTTGAACCCAGGAGGCAGAGGTCACAGTGAGCCGAGATCGCGCCATTGCACTGCAGCCTGGTGACTGACAGTGCAAGACTCTGTATCAAAAAAAAAAAAAAAAAAACAACTAAAATAAAATTGTGAATCATAACCAATGGCATATTCATTAATGAAATGGAGTAAAAATAAAAAGGCGGCTAATCTAGGAATAATTGAATGATGGAGCGGTTTTGCTGAGTCATATTACATATACCTGACTCATCCCAAAGACAGAGACAAATTCCTTGCGCTCCCCAGGCCAACAGGAGATAGCTTGGAGGGGCCTCCATGACTTTAAGTTTTATCACCTAGTCTTATTAACATCAGGGCTGAAGATGTTAGAGAGTTTAATAGGCATTTCAGAATCTGTGACACCTAGCCTCTCAGTGGATACTATTTATTTGTCATTTCAGCCGTCTTGTTCTTCTCAACATCAGCCCTGCCCAGAACTCCCCCTCTCCTCTAGCAGTCCCCCATCCTTCCTCAGATGCTTACACACACTCACTTTACGTATAACCACGTAATAGCCTCCTGTTAAAGGCTCCAGCAGCTCATCATCTCTAGCCTGACAGGCCCTAGGATGCAGACTACCAGGGGCTGCTGGACCAGAAACTGTCCCTGCGCCATAACTCAAGAGAGAGGTAGGATCAATGACAGATTTACAGGAGAGCACAGTTTTAAATAGCTGAGATCAGTGTCTGGAGGCTTCCCGTTAATACCACTAACGGCGTCCAGCAAGCGAGACTATTGGCCACTTTGTTACCCACTCTAAACTGTTTCTGATATTCAACTCTATTTTCAAACACATCCTAAGAAATCCCTACTCCCCCAAAATTGACAATGCAGCCTTCTTTATATGAAACCTTGTTTATAGGCCACAATTCTCCCGACAGATTTACAAGTGTCTGTGGAGTTTTAAAAGACGATTGCTTAACAGGCATTAAGTGAGACACATAGGACTGTGTAAATATTTTAGCTGGAATAGGATTTTTTTAAATGTCTGAGCCAAATATTGCATTAAATCTGAAGACAGTGGCAAACTGATTAGCAGTGGCTGCCAGCTCCATGCTTTGCCAGTGATTCTGGAGCCAAGACTAGATACCAGAATTCATCCACCAGATTAGGTTGTGTGTTTTAAAAATAACTTTCCATCCTTTTTTTTTTTCCCTCTCTTCTCTTTATGCCTTTCTGTCATTTCTCCTTTATTCCCTCATGGTTCATTTAGATGTAAACACTTTCCAGAGTAGAAAATTACAGTTAATGTGACTAACCAGCGAGGGCTGAAACGGGAACATGGGCTCAGAGGTCAGAGAAACCGTGGAAGACTTGCAGCTGTCCTGGTGGAGCAATGTGGGGACAGGTTGCTTTTTACTAATAGGCCTTGTGTATCTTAATCACTGGCCTCTTTGTAGCCAGCTGTTGCACTGCTGGAAGGGGACTAGTCCTAAGACCAGCATTGCTGTAATACCTCTTCCTCTTACTGATTTCCTTGATTCATAAAGAGGCTCAGGCCTGTGGCCTTCAAGATGTGTATGTGTGAGAGAATCCTCAATTCTAGTAAAAATTGCCACAAAATATGCATTTTGACTTCAGAGGACATATTTAGTATTTAAGCATTCCTATAGGAGTACTATTTTCCTGATTAGAGCAGTGGATAAGATGTGTTGCTATAATTTTGGGAGGAGTGAGGCGTTCTAGCTAACAACTTTGCTCTGCCTTTGCTGACTTTTAACCATTGTCTTGCACTAATGATACCTGTATGCTTCTTGAAGTACTATTCAATGGGAGTGCCCCAAAATATAGGCTCTATATGTTCTTCACAAATGACTTGAATTGCAATCGTATGTCCAAATGATTACTTGATATTGTTGATTGGAAAGTCTGAGCATTTAAAATTTTGTGTGCTCATAATTATATAAATGTATATTACAAAACTCTGAGTGTTTGATGTAAGTTTGCTGTACACTTCCCCCAAGTTCAGACAGCTTTGCTAGTGCTGACAGTAGCATAATTTACATTCCAATTAAACGTGACACATTAGGGCCTTTCAAAAAAAAAAAAAAGAGCTACTTTCATGCACAGGCCTCAAACCTAGTTTTATGCTGTGATTAATCCCCAATTTCTATATCAACTCTCATATATCACCAGTTATGGTCTTGTGTTTGAGTAAATTACTTCAGTGGATGGATGGTCCTCTTACTGTTTTCCATTCCAGAGTTTTGCACTTCCAATGTGATGACCGTAGTCCCTACATGACAGTGACAGGCACCGTTCTAGCTTGCATGGAGCCAGCCACCTCTGCAGAGTGGTACAGAAAATGGTTTTATTTCCAAAATCTCTCCCCTTCATCTCTCCCATTGTGGTACAACCCATTTTGTACCAAAAACAGTTTGACCACTAATATCAAGAATTCTACAAAGGTTTTTCCTTTTTACCTATAATTTCATTTCTTGTATCTTTTATCTTTGTATCTTGTATCTTTAGGTCATTTCCTAAAGAAATGACCCTCAACCTAGAATAAGTTTGTATGGACACAGATGTGGCTCAAGCCTGACTCCCCATGAGAATAAGGTAGAAAGGATTTCACTATCCAACTACAGGAGAATTAAGTGAGCTATGGCATGCCTACCTGATGAAATTTTATATGGCTGTTAAACATGCTTGTGGAGTTTGTGAAATAACAGGAGAATGTGTGCATGATATGTTAATAGAAAGAATCAAAATACAAAAAAATTCTTTATCAAATATAAGTAAGGCAACCCCCATAAAATGATGGAGGGGCAAGGAGCGCGATACCGAGGCCCAGACCCTGAAAGAGAAAGTATGCAAGTCTTAGATGGTGACTGTGTTCTGGTCATGGTGTCATGACCGATTTGTTTTTTCTGCTGTTTTAAAAATGTTTTTCAAATGTCTTTGTGTGTATATGTTACCTTCCTAATACTTTTTAGAAGTTAGTCGCTGCTCTCCTCCCGAAGATGAGTTCCCTTCCCCTTCAGAGGCCCGGTACCTCCATGCCTGGGCTGCCTGCCTAGGACCCCTGCCACACAGTCCACCTCGATGCCAGAGCTTGCAGTATGTGCCTTTTTCTTCCATGTTAACACAACTTTCCTACCTATTGTTTTTGAAATCCCCTACCTCCTAAACCAATCTTAGAAATACATTTCTACTAAAGCATTAAATTATTCTTGACAATGTTTTCTTTTTCAACGAATACATATGCATTTCTAATGAAATTTCTGGAGTTACCATCTTTAATTCAAGGGAAGGCTTCTCATGGTGGCGATTTTTGTGGGGACCAGTGAAAGGGATGTTTTTGAATAAATGTTTGAATCGCTTAACACCCTATAAATCAAATCATGCCCAATCCATCTATATTTAGGCCTCGTCATGGGTAGGTGATTAATGAATATGTTTCATGCTAATGTCTCGCAGACCGAGGCTGCGTCCGTAACCACATAATCATCACAGTGGAAATTCTGACTCAGCTGTGACGTTTGGTAGGCGGGACCTTTGAATGGTGCTTTAGACAATTCCGTGCAAAGGCTGTAGTCAGTGGCCCAGCTTTGCAAGTCTTTCCAAAAGTCCTAAAGCGCACTAGCATGTCCTCACTTGGCCCTGTCACCTCTGCTTAAATTTTTTCATGGAGAATACTCACTCCCAATCATGGTACATTAAGGTGAATTTGATCTTGGGCAGCCTCCCTCAGTGGAGTGAATCAGAATCATGGGATTCCCCTGGACTCCAGCTTCCTGGTGGGTTTATTTTTATGGAACATTCCTCTGGAGAAAGAGGCAGCCGCTCTGTAAAGGGCTAGACCTCTTCTGCACGTGATCAAAGTAGCCCTAGAGAATATCTTCTTGTATGGAATGATTTTTATGACATGATGGCTTTGGGAGTTTTCTTGAAAAATTAAAGGAAGAATCTTTCTAAGGAGTCCTACTACCATGAAAGGAAACTATCAAAAACATCCCAGGCAGATAAGAACTAAATCAGTTTTAAAGTCACCAAGAAAACAACACTTCCATGGCCTCATTTGATCTTTAGCACTTGACCAGGAAAACTAGAGCTATCTTTTAGGCTTAATTCCAACGACTTCCCCATTTTGGCGTTCTTTCTGTAGCTTAACTTCTTAAACAAGTGGCTACAGAATCTTTCTCCATTTACCTCACGCCTCTCCAAGCTGGCTTTTTCCCCGCACCCCCAACTTCCCTGGAACTGCTTTTGAGATTACAAGTGACCTCTGTGTCACTAGAATCAGTGTTATTTCTCTGTCTTCATCTCACTTGATCCTTCTGCACAGAGCTGACTGCTCTTTCTTTCCTGCAATTCTGTTTTCTTCTCAGGTCATGTAACTCCAGACCTTCACTTTCCTACTGAACAGCTCTTCTCTGTTCATTGCTGGCCTCTCCTCCACTGTGCACATGCCCCAGGGTTTGTCCTGCAACACCTTCTCTTCCTTGGCTGTATTCTCCCCATGGCAATTCATATTTTGCTATCACTTTAAATACCAATTTTATACCAATGACTTCCTGGCATGTGTGTCTACTCCAGCCATGAGTCCCAGACTGCAGACTTTTATATACACTTGAGTGTCTAATTCACATTTCAAACTTAATGTGCTCTAAATAACACCTTTGATTTTCCACCCCGAGCTTGCTCATGACTCCCTCCCTTACTCTGATTAAATCTCTAGTCAAATAGCTTCACAGTGAGACTTTTCCTAACTACTTTAAGTAAAATTGCAAGCCCCTTATGTCTGTGACACTTTTCCTAACCAGGCTGGTCACCAGCCTTTTCACCGTTCACCTGAGTGTGTAACCTGGGATACCTTTGGGGCCCAGAAGCTTTTCTCCCCTACGCACACTCTTTCCTTTACACCAAAATCTGAATGCAGAACACCAGTGATCTGAGGAGAGAAGGTCCCACAGCTCCAGACATGCTACACCACTTAACTCATTCAAATGGCCCGTGCGTTCTCATCATGTATTACTTTTATTCATGACATTTCACCTTAATTCTCTTTCCTCACTGTGGTTGAGGGCTAGCTCCTCCTTGACCTTTGCAGTTCAACTCATAAGTTTTCTCTCCTGGAGAGCCTTTCCTGGCTACTAACTCCTGGCCCAGTCTGAAATAGAGGCCTATACCCAGCGTTCCATCACACCACACTATATCACAATTTGTTCATTTCCTTGTTTCTCATTGTTGCTAGACTGTGAATGTTTTTTGGAGGAGAAATGACCAGTAGGTCTCATTAAATATTTGTCCCCAACATTTAGCTCAGTGGCATACAGCAGATACTTGGTAAGTATTTTGAATGTATGAATGTTTATGGAACCCGGACAGGGATTTAAAAAAAAATGTGTATCTCGTATCTGAATGAGTGAATGTGAGTGAAAGTGGGTGAATGAGTGAATGTCAGTGTACTTGTGTCTTCTCCAGCCCCTGCCTCCATCTACATGTATTATACAAATGAAGAGAGATGTTTTTCACGTGTCGGTGTATGTGCATATGTCTGTGTCTACATATACATACATACAGTCATGTGTCACTTAACAACTGGGATATGTTCTGAGAAATGTGTCGTTAGGCAATATCATCATTGTGCAAACATCATAGAGTGTACTTACACAAACATAGATGGTGTAGCCTACTTCACACCTAAGCTAGATGGTATAGCCTATGGCGTCTACGCTACAAATCTGCACAGGTTTCTATACTGTTACAGTCCCCAACATTATTCAGTAGAATACTGAATATAGTTAACAGTATATTACAGTACTACTGGCTGTACTATACTGTAACTGTATTCAGTATTCTGCTGAATACTGTAGGCAATTATAACACAATGGTAAGCATTTGTGTATCTAAACAAAGGAAAGGTAATGCCTTGCTCTACAGTGTTACAAAGGCTACATCATCACCGGACTATCAGAATTTTTCAGCTTCATTATAATTTTATGGCACCATTGTTTTATATGTGGTCCATTATTGACAGAAGCATCATTCTGAGGTACATGAGTGTACATGTACTACAGCCAAATTCTATCAAGACACTAATATCCATACTGCACATGTGTAAGTTTCTCCCCTTTAACTGGTAGTTTATTCATTTATTTAGCAAATACCCATGGAACAGCTTTCACTAGATAGACATTACAGTAGATGCTGGAGATTTAACAGTAAGAAAAATACAGTTTCTGCCTAATGAGGGAGACAATCCAATAATCATGAAAAGGGGAAAGGTATACAGTGCTATGACTTTGTAACAGAGGGTCTCTCATCACAGAATGGAAGGTGGAAAAGAAATCCTGATGGCCGGGCGCGGTGGCTCACGCCTGTAATCCCAGCACTTTGGGAGGCCGAGGCGGGCAGATCACGAGGTCAGGAGATTGAGACCATCCCGGCTAACATGGTGAAACCCCGTCTCTACTAAAAATACAAAAAATTAGCCTTTGCACAGGGAGCGGGGGGCAGGGGGCTGAGGCAGGAGAATGGCGTGAACCCATGAGGCGGAGCTTGCAGTGAGCCGAGGAGATCACACGACTGCACTCCAGCCTGGGTGAAAGAGCGAGACTCCGTCTCAAAAAAAAAAAACCTGATGAGACTTCTGAGCTGAGGTCGTAATGATGACTAAGCACTGACTAGGTCCTGGTTACTAGGAAGTGAAGGAGAGTGGCATAGCAGGAGAACACCATAATGGGAAGAAGTGAGCATGTTTGAGGAATGGAAAGAAGGGCCACTGTGGCAGGGAGAGCAGGGTGAGGCTGGGAAGGCAGGCAAGACGTAGCGCATGTAGGGCCTTGCAGGCCAGCTTGAGGGATTGAAGACAACCTCTCAGAGTAATAGAGGTGCCTGCAGGTTTAAGCAGGGGACTGGCATAATGAGATTTTATAAAGGTCACTTTGACTCAGGTATGGAGAACAAATCAGAGAGAGGCAGGGTGGATATGGGAAGAACAGTTAGGCTGAGACTATAGCAGCCTGGTGAAGAGTAATGAATTCAGGAGTTCCGTAGGAGGTGAAACTGTGGGCTAGCTGTGTAAACTTGGGAGACACATCCCAGATATGGTTACTGAAATGTTTACCTGGATGACATTGTCTAGACAGAGAGCATAGCATGGGAGGAGGAGCAGCCTTATGCCAAACCCTAGAGAACTTTAACGTTTAATGACTCTGTATAGGAAGATGAGGCTGCATAGGAAACAGGGCAGGCAGAAGTAGGAGGAAAGCCCACAATGGGGAACACAGACGCTAAGGGACAAAGTGTTTTACAAAGGAGAAGTAGTCAAGATGCAGAATCCTGCTGGGTTGTCAGCGAAGGAGATACAAAATGAGGACACTGCCCACAGGATGGGTTAATTAGTGACTTCAGAGTGCTTTCTCAGTGTCACAATGGGGAGGAAGTAAATTTCAGTGGGTCATGAAACAAGAAATAGGAAAAAGTGAGTATTGCAAATTTTAAAAGACAGTTGGACTGGGAAAATGATTAGACTGTAACATGATTTGTTTATTAAACACATAAACATTAGGAATGTCAGTTATTCAAAGAGTTTGTGAGGTTGCTGTTATTGTTTAGCTCTTCTTGGAAACAAAGAATAAAGCCGCGTACAGTATGTTATCTAGCCAGCCTTTCTACTGTTTGATTATTTAAAATAGCTGAAGAATATTTTGGCTAGCGTTTTACTATTCAGCATACAAAATGCTTTTTTTTCACATGTTTATTTAGTCCTCACAAGATTTTATGTATCAAGAAACTAAGAGTCAGATATTAAATAACTTTTCCAGCCAAATAGAGTGTATGAAAAACTAAGAATAAATGCATCTTTAAATCAAGAGTAGTTCAAAGGGGAAATTTTTTTTCTTTTTTTTTTTTTTTTATTATACTTTAAGTTCTAGGGTACATGTGCACAACGTGCAGGTTTGTTACATATGTATAGATTTGTCATGTTGGTGTGCTGTACCCATTAACTCGTCATTTACATTAGGTATATCTCCTAATGCTATCCCTCCCCACTCCCGCCACCCCACAACAGGCCCCGTTGTGTGATGTTCCTCAAAGGGGAAATTTTTCTAATGTACCAATTGTTGGTGTATATGTGTAAATATATATACATAGCTGTATGCCACAATTAAGAATGTGCGAAAGCTATTGTTTTAATTTTCCAAAAGTTAGCACTTTTAATTTAAATGCTTTACTTGTATTTCTCTTATTGAGTTCAGTTATTTTTAGTAGGTATTTTATTTTATTTTTATTTTTTTTTTTTTTTGAGGTGGAGTTTCACTCTTGTTGCCCAGGCTGGAGTGCAATGGCACGATCTCAGCTTACCACAACTTCCGCCTCCCAGGTTCAGGTGATTCTCCTGCCTCAGCCTCCTGAGTAGCTGGGATTACAGGCATGCGCCACCACGCCTGGCTAATTTTGTATTTTTAGTAGAGACAGGGTTTCTCCATGTTGATTAGGCTGGTCTCGAACTCCCAACCTCAGGTGATCTGCCCGCCTTGTCCTCCCAAAGTGCTGGGATCACAGGCGTGAGCCACCTTGCCCGGCCAGGTCTTTTATTTTAATAACGTTTGTTGCTACTTTTTGAAGATTGACTAATATGTTTAATTTCTCAATTACATGTGCATCTCAAACTCATTTCCCACTTTTGATTCCTAGTTTAGTAATATTGTAAGTATTATAATGAAGACATAGTTGCACCTAAGATTTTTAAAATTATTTACCTTATATAAAGAAGTACAGATGAGGCATTCTTCATTTATCTGTTCATTATAGTTCCAGTTTAAGGCTGACTTTCTAATTAGCTTTAGGCAGCTTTATTAAGATGAAATCACATTCCACATAATTCACCCATTTAAAGTGTACAATCTGATGACTTTTGGTGTATTCACAAAGTTGTACAACCATTGCCACAATCAATTTTTTGAAATTTTTATTACTCCAAAAGGAAAACTTTTCTCCCTTACCCCCTTAGCTGTCACCTCTCTCTCTCTCCCTCTTTCTCTCCTAGTCCTCAGCCACTACTAATCCGCTTTGTCTCTATAGATTTGCCTACTGGGACATTTCATGTGAGTAGAATCATAGGATATGTGGTCTCTTGTGATTGGCTTTTCTTACTTAGCATAATGTTTTCAACGTTCTTCTATGTAGTAGTATGTACTTGTACTTCATTTGTTTTAATGGCCAAATATTTCATTCTGTGTATAAAGTATATTTTATTTATCCATTTATCAGACGATGGATGGGCATTTGGATTGTTTCTACTTCTTGGAGTATACTAAAGCTCTATTCACTAAGTACAATGTTCTAATTAGCTTTTGAGGCATAGACACTATGTATGTGTAGATATAAAAAGGCACTTGTTTGTCTATAAAAAGGCACTTGTTTGTCTAAGTCCATGTATGTAGCTACATTATTCTGAGATAATATTTTGACCTGGGTTCCATGTGTCTAAAGCCTGTGTTTTAACTTGAATGGACAACTGGGAATTCGGAGTTTTTTGACCACTTTAAATATAGTGTCTTGCCTTTGGATGAATAGAGTCATTAGGAGGAAAAATTTGCATATGATGTCAGGTGAATCCCCAAACCAAGGTTAAAGAAGGAAAACACCTTTGGTTACATATAGATTTTCCACATATGGGTCATTAATGCACAGTTGTCTGATTTGAGCTGAGAAATGTGGGCTTTGAAGGGCTATTTAGTAGAAAATGGGTGTAGCGGTCCCTTTCAAAATCTAACTTATGTCGGTGTCTCCTTGAATAGATTTCCCCTTTGCCCTCTCCTAGTTATCCTCACCCTGTGATTTCCAGTAATACCACTCCCTACTCTTAACCCTGCCAAGATTTAAAATACTCCTGCTGTGTAGCATCAGACCTCAAGAACATGAAATAGGTACTTTTTATTGCAGGCTTCTGTCATTTGTTTTTGGCTTAAATCAACTTGAAACCTCCCTTTGTGTGGCCTTTTCTATATGGCCTTATAAAAAAGTGTGTACAGTAGATAGCCACAAAATAGTACCTTCTCATTTGTGCCAAGCTTTAATAAGCAAATGAAAAAATATCTAATATTTTATTAATTGTAAGTATGATTTTCCCCTTTCATAGAAGTCCATGCATTGCTGCTAGCCAAAATAAAATATTACTGTTCTAACTTTAGTATTTTATTACATTGCATTTCATGTAATTCCTTAGTCAGTTTAAGGCCAATGCCATAAGAAGAAAATTGTGCAAGTTAAGCTAATATTGAGATTCTGAGTTCTGAATTTGTTTTTACATTTGTTTTGATAAAAGTGTGTTTGGGGGCAGGAAGCTAAAAGGACATTCACTTTTTCTAACCACGTCCTCCCACCCCACCACCAGGAAGTGCACTAGACGGTCCTGTTCTTACTAAAGGGATTAAAGTAGAAAAGATGAACATGGAAGGAAATAACTCGTAGGTTTGCCTGCAGTTCAAGTTACTAGAAACAATAATTACTGCGTGCCATACCCATTAAGAAATCTTAGTTGGTGACCCATTCACTATAATGTCTGAGGGCAGAGAATTTAGTCTGTTTCTTTTGCTGATGGAACCCCAATATCTGACACAATTTATGGCACGTAGTAGGTGCTCAGTAGACATGTGTTGAATTGATGTGTTTATTTATTTTATTTTATTTATTTATTTATTTTGAGATGGAGTCTCGCTCTGTCGCCCAGGCTGGAGTGCAGTGGCACAATCTCGGCTCACTGCAAGCTCCGCCTCCCGGGTTCACGCCATTCTCCTGCCTCAGCCTCCCGAGTTGGGACTACAGGTGCCCGCCACCACGCCCAGCTAATTTTTTGTATTTTTAGTAGAGATGGGGTTTCACCGTGTTAGGCAGGATGGTCTCCTGACCTCGTGATCCGCCCGCCTCGGCCTCCCAAAGTGCTGGGATTACAGGCGTGAGCCACCGCGCCTAGCCGAACTGATGTATTTATTGAATGGATTCCTGTATGATAAACTCCTTAACCAGGCATTCTAGGCTTTTGATCTCTGGCTTCACTTTATGTCTCTCATCTAAGCCCCATTGATATAATACAAGAATTTGCTTTAGTAAAAAAATTCCATATGTTGCTGCAGCCATTTTCTATGGCGGTCCTTTGAGCAGGGAGCTTGTGAACAGGACATGGATCTTGTAAAAGTGAGGAAGAGGCAGAACTGGCGCAGGACTGTGGAAGGGTGGGGTAAGACTTAGGTAACCAGACAGGGAAGAAGAGAGAACTCTGGAAAAGCAGATAGCCTGATAAACCTTTCCTTTCCTCTAAAACTGTATTCTGACTTAACTAAGCCCACAGGTCCTTCAGCTCATACAAAAAGAAACAAGTTTCATATCTTCATACCAATTGCCCACATACATTTGATTTACAAAGCAATTAAACGTATTTGACTTTGATGAATTATATCTGGGTCTTACTGCTACATTTTTCTAACCTGCCTAGGCTTTTTAAGTGGCTTAATAAGCTTTATTCCCTTGTTCTTAGGGGTGAAAAACAAAAAACAGATAATTCTGACCTTAACAGCCTAATATCTGAAATATTAAAATAGTCTAGGCCATATCTTTCCTTTCACTAAAATACTCCACCAGTGTTTAACCTGTAAGTGAAAATATTCTCCATGTAGTCTCAGTTATTTCACTATGTATTGGTTTTTAATATTTCATCTCTGTCTCACAGTGATCACTTAGTAGTAACTAACTTCGGAAATTAATATATTTTTAATTGCCAAAAAATTGTGTAAAGAGAAAAATAACAGAAAGAGAACCTGGGGTGACTTTGGCTTTTAACTGGAGCTCCTGGCACAGCCCACGCCTGAGGCAACCTTGGTGGTCTAGCAATATCGTATGCGAGTCTTCCGGTTGAACAGTGAAGGACATTTGTGGATCTGTCCATGACCTCTCTCCTTTATGCACTGCCAGTCTCCGGTGTCATCATTAATTAGCCTTCAGGTCTCCCATTTGTCTGCTAGAAAGCATCTCGGATAAGCCAAGTCAATAAATTGGAGCAGGCAAGCTGCCTGGCCTCCGGGGCGCGTGGCTCTGTGGGGACCGTCGGAGGGCAGCCCTCTCCTTTGATCATGTGGGGAAGTTTAATTCTTACAGGCCACGTGGGAATCCCAGCCCGTGGGGCTGCAGAGAGGGCCTTGGAGCACAGCAGTGGAGCTGCTCTCGTTTGTACTGGTTTCAGTTTCTAATTTCAAAACCGCGAAGCTCAGAGGCCTAGGGGAATTGTTTCCCATTTTGCTTCGTCTTTCCCCAAGACTTCGCCTGCATTCTTCAGTGAATTCTCACAATGGGTGGTGGAACTTCAGCACGGGAATGAAAATCATTATCCCTATGTTCTAAACAGGAGATTTGCACCGTGGCATATTTCCGTAAATACAGTGCCCAGCATCTGTAGCAAATAATCCCCAGCCATGACTCTCTTGCTGTTCTGACCTTGACATGTTTCCCAACCAATTTTAGTCAAACATAAAAATAACAAATAATATTTATGAGCCTGCTTGTGAGTGCCAGGCATTCTGCAAATCACTATGTATGTATTATCTTAAATATCATATCATGCCTGTGTTGCGGGAGGTCCCCATTTTGCAGATGAGAAAAACAAGCCACAGCCCACCTGAGTCCTAGTGGGTCTCAATCCAAGCACAAGCTCTTTACCACCCCCATGATATGGCCTCATAAAATTGGAGCAATTTGATGGGCACCGCATGGGCTCTGTCACCACATCTAGCACAAAGGGAGAGCTGCAGCGATCAACCCTGTGAATTCAGGCAAAAGAGAAAGTATTGCTTTTGTAATTGGGGAAACAAGCTCTGCCTTCAGCTTTGCTTTCACCAGGGAGAAGTAACCTTGAAGGAGTTATTGTCAGGCGTTCGATTATATCCTATTAGTAAATTGCAGGCATGTTTTATACTACGTTCATGAAAAACAATTCTATATAAATGAAATTGTTGGAATTTGAATATAGTAGAGGGTTAATTAAATAATTTAAGGAACTCCTCCCAATTTATATTGTGGGAAATCCTAGCTTTTCTTTAACTGTATTCTCAGAATCATAGCTGGAAATAATCAGGAAAGTTTATGTGGCCACAAATGTTCATTGAGAAATGCTGATTCCTTAAAACAGATGTCTTTCCTGCTTCCCTGCCTACCTTGAGAACTACCCAATCAGGATAATCATCTTTGTTACCTTTGTTACCTTGCTTATGACTCATGGGATGAGGTGGTGGACATTTCTGGGGGTCTTTAAAATACACTCAAACCTTAGATCATCTTGGGACACCTCACCATGTTTGAGGAGTACAGAGACACAGAGACGGTGACCCCTTGGTGCAGGGGAAGGGCAAGCAAGTCACATTGCATCTCTGGAAAGCCCACTTGGAGTCTGGGTCAACATTGCTAATATGTATGTATATATATTTTTTAGACAGGAGACAGGGTCTCACCCTGTGAGACTAGGCTGGAGTGCAGAGGTGTGGTCATGGCTTATTGCAGTGTCGACCTCCCTGGGTTCAGGTGATCCTCTCACCTCTGCCTTCTGAATACCTGGGACCACAGGTGCACACCCCCATGCCCAGCCAGTATTTGTATTTTTTGTAGAAACAGGGTTTCACCACTTTGGCCAAGCTTGTCTCAAATTCCTGGGCTCAAGTGATCCACCTGCCTTGGCCTCCCAAAGTGCTGGTATTAGAGGCACGAGCCACTGTGCCAAGCCAACATTGCTAATTTTATTTAAACTTTCCTACACGTGAGAATCTAGTTAAGATGAAGAAACCTTTTTTCTTCATCTACTTTTCCCTTTCTTCCTTTCTTTCTTTCCTTTCCCCTTCCTTCCTTCTTTCCTTCCTCCCTCCCTTCCTACCTCTTCCTCTCTCCTTTCTTTCCTTCCTTCCTTCCTTCCTCCCTTTCCTTTTTTCCTTTTCCTTCCTTCCTTCCTCTTTTTCTTTCTCTCTTTGTCTCTCTCTTCCTTCTTTCCTCCCTCCCTCCTGCCTTGCCTTGCCTTGCCTTTGCCTTTGCCTTTCTTTCCTCCTTTCATTCTTTCATTCTTTCTTTCCTTTCTTGTCTGTCTGTCTCACTCTATCACCCAGGCCAGAGTACAATGGTATGACACTGCAGCCTCGAACTCCTGGGCAGAAAAAACCCTCCCAGATCAGCCTCCCATGTAGCTGGGTCTACAGGCATGCACCATCATGCCTGGATAACTTAAAAAATTTTTTTTGAGAGACAAGGTCTCACTGTGTTGCCAGACTGGTCTTGAACTCCTGGCCTCAAGTGATCCTCCCACCAAGGCCTCTCAAAGCACTGGGATTACAGGTGCAAACCACGACATTCAGCCAAGATAAGGAAATCTGATGCTTTCGCCAGATACATGGAGCTCTCTAGAGAAGTTTGGGGAGAAGTAAATGAATCCTGCATGATGACTTCTCAGGGATTAATGTATGGACTTTTACATAAATATTAAAGGTAAAACATAAATACTGTGCAGACGGTGATAGATATGTTTGAAAGATGCAAAAACATTGGATTGAAAAATGCTTTGTGGCAATGTTGGCATCTCAGAGAAGCTTTTTAGGATGAACAGGACTTTGTCAGATATTGTTGAAAGAATGTATGGCATGAGAGCAGAGCAGAGAACCACATGAATGAAGACATGGAACTGGGAATGCCGAATAATGTAACTGGAAAACATTGAACAGCTTTGGTTTGGTTAGTCAAATACATGTGGGAAATAGAGCTGAAATATGCCATAATGGAAAAGGCCTTAAATAATCCAAGTCCCCGAAGTTTGAATTTAGTTGAATTCGTGATGAGAACCCATTAATAGTTTTATCTTCTTTTGTACCTTTCCCCCTTTGTTTTCAGGGGACAAGATTGCCTTACAATTTATAGAGACTAGAGAAAACTTAAGCATCAAATTTAACTCTTGATGTCCTCTGTCTCTTAAAAAAACATAATCCAACAAGATACTTCCCCACTATTCTCTATCTCAGCAAATGGCACTTCCAGCAACCCATTGCCCACCCCTTTACCCTTCCATCTGCTTCAACCCTACCTTGACTGAATCAGCAAGACCTATTTGTTACACCTGCAAAATATATCCCAGCTCTATCTACTCTCTCGCTCCTTGGACGCTACTCTAGCGCAAAGTGTCCTATTTTGAGAAAAGAATGGTAGTGGGAAGGACATACTTACCATTTGGCCACAGATCCATCTATTTCAAAAGAGGTGAAGGGTAATCTCATAATAGCAGAGAAGCTATAAAGTAGTTATTGTAGAGAGGACAAAAAGGCTTACAAAGAAAGGAAAAAAATGTGGAAAAAATGAATGTTTTAAATGATTATTTGACTGGATTTATAGAATTTGTTCTAGTTGTTTCAAGGTAAGATTTGTATTTTTTCAATAAGATAAGTCATTTAAAAAATTAGTCTTTGCCTCCCAATGGACAGGATTTCCTAGATAGCCTTGGAATGGTTGTCAGAATAGCTAATAGCAGATATTCTAGATAGCTCTATAAAAACTCTTTAAGAAACAATGTCAATAGATAGAGCTTGAATTTCGGTACCCCTGTCCTGTGACCTAGCATCCCTGTATCATGAGAAATCCCTAGATACCTCTGAAAATGTAGGTGATTCTGACCTTGACTCAGAAAATGACAAAGGGTTCCCTCAAATTGTACTTTCATTTTCAGCACCGTTTTGTAGTCCCCAGGGTTGTCTAGGATTTCTGCAATCTAGTTGGCAATATTGCAAATGAAAAGTGTCAGATAACTAATTTCAGAGAACATTTAAGTGGTGTCTTTTGCATTTTCTCTATTTCTGAACTGACATGTTTATTGCTTTGCCTGCAGTATACGTTCTGAGATGCTAGTTTTAAATATGCCAAATTATTGGATAGGAATTTCCCAATGTAAATAAAGATCTCCTTCCCAACCTCCTTCTTCCAAAATACCTTACCTGTGTGTTTATAAATTGCTCCAAGATCTGTAGTATATGTTTCTCTATTTTGTGAACCCCAGGTGGCATGATATCTTTATGGTGAAATCCAGTGCTTTATTAATAGGCTTTTGGACAAGAACATATCTAATTTCCAGCCATGGTCAACAGATGAAAGTGATCTTGACTCAGCTCTAGCTTTGTAGAAACGAAGCCTTTCTTTTCCCAGTGCATGCTGTAACTGGCACAAACACATAGGAACCTTGGGGAGATGCCTCTTGGCTGGGTTAACTGCCTTTTGTGATGGTGAACTATGATTTACTGTGGCTTCCCTGTAGACAAATCGTAACTATCCAATAAGGTAGGTCATTTTTAAAAAGTCAAGTCACCTCAGACCTGATTATCAAAAAGTACTCTATTACAAATTTTAGATAGTCTATCTGAAGTAAATTATGTAAAATTATTCCCCTTGTGTTAGTAGAGGATTAAAAGGAAGGGTAGGTGAACGGGAAGCATGAAGAACTGACAGGGTCCTCCCCGACCTGGTCTTAGTTCTCATGTTGGGATGCGTGTGTCACCCTGGCCAATCACTAGGTTGGTAGTTCTAGACAACTTGGGTGCCTGAGAATTTCTGCAATATATTTTTCAAGCTCTACTTTTGGAGTGTGAATCTGAGGAGGGCTGAGGCCCTTAATTTCGTGAGACTAATCCTCAAGTAGTTTTTGCCTCTCTTTATCTTTGGGAGAACACAAGCAGAATACTTTACCTATCCCAGGTCAGAGACTTTTCTGGATCTCTAGAAGAAAAATGGAAGGATTGTACATTGCCCTGTTCCTCAAGAGTGGTGTAGAATGAACTAATTATTTTTGTTGGTTTGTTTATTATTTCTGGGTTTTGTTCCCCCTGCCCCCCAATCCTGGAATTTGGACCAACAGTGGTTGACAAGGAGTGTGCACAATTGATAGCCAAGTGCATAGCACAGTACCTGGCCCATAGCAGGAGCTCAGCAAATCTGTGTTCCTAAGTCTAATTCTAAATTTCTCTTCACAGCAAGTGAGAAACAGATGGTGGTGGTGTGCAAGGAGTCCCCAAAGGAGTATCTCCAGCCTTTCAAGGACAAACTAGAGGAGTTCTTCCAAAAAGGTAGGAAGCTTTGTCAGCCGCACATACACGTGGCCCTGAAACATCCTTCATTCCATGAATCTTTCTCTGAGGCCCACGGCCCCTGGCATCCTGGCTGACCACAGGCAGCTCTGGTGATTTCATTAGCCCATCTTTCCATGGTGGTTACATACTCACGGTAGATAAAGTTGTCCTGTAGCTTTCATATCACCTTTCAAATCCAGTTTAATATTTTAAATTCTTGAATGTTACTCTGGCTTTTGTAAATTCTCTGAGGACAAACTTTTTTGTCTCTTCATGGGGCTCAAGGAATTCCTTAGCCCGTGTTTACTGACAAATGACATACATGTAAGGCAGATGTGGTCATGCATTTCACATTTGTGGTCAACCTGGACAGGTGGATGGTGATCACCCTCCTGGTTTTATGAGTGTAGCAACTTGGAAACTTGTGTTATATTTTCCATTCCTTTTCAGATAGGAAAATTAGGGCCAAGTGAATGTCACCCATCAATCACTTGCTACCTATCAGCCCTCTGGGGGTTAGTCAGTGAAAGTGATGTGCTGGTATGCATGAGACTCCACACTTTCTTTGAAATCTTAACAGATTTCCTTCCTTCACAGTTTTGGCATGAGTAGGGAACTTCTGTTTATCAGGGTTAGTGAACATGGAAGTATCATGTCTTTTAGATAATTCCTATTCTAATTTCTCAAATTTAACTTAAGATGTAAAACAAAAATAAGTGTGGGGTTGTTGCAGGCAGCTTTTTTCCCTGCTGGAAAGCTAGAGGAAACACACATAGGAGCCTTTGGGGGATATCTCAACATGCTTTTTCTATTACTGAGTAAGGCCACTTGTTACCACACCATCAACAAAAGACTGTTAAGCAGGGTGAATGCATAAAGTGTGGCCAAACCAGCTTGAGAATCAGCAGGGAAATTCTCAGTCTATGAGTCAGAGGAACTCCATTCCAGCTGCTGTTCCCTTGGTGCAGAGACCATTGCTCCCTTCTCCATGATGAAAGGTTGTCTGTATTGAAGTAGGAGAAGTCAGATTTCTCTCTCAGCCATTACAGAACCTCATATATGATGGAAGAAATGCTGTCAGACAAAGTACCATCTTGAGAGCAAAGATACCAATACTTGTGTGCTATGTGACTATAGGAGATGGATTTTATAAGTGACTTATCAAAAAATGCATTGCTGTATAATTATACTGTGTAAATATAACCTAAGTAGCCTGAAGAAAACCATGAACTACTTCCCTTTGCTGACCCCAGTTAATAGTATCTGCTTTTTACATATGTAGAATTAACTTGAAATGAGGCTCATTTGTACTTGGATTCCATCTTTATTTTTAATTGCTATTCTATTTCTAGAAAATTTTGCCATGTGCATGTCAGGGTACTATTTACCTGCATGCTGTAATGCTCTTAGAATCCTGCGTCTGCAAAGCAGCCAGCTTATATTGTGAATTTTATTCTTTTTGTTGAAAAGACATAAATATGAATAGATTTAAAACCTTGAGAATCTTCTTTGGTACCTTGGAAAAGCAATTTGCAAATCCCCATTTGGGATAATGTGTTAGCCTCTTCTCTACTAGGGCTCCCAAGACAATTCTGGTCTATTCAGAGAAACGGAATTTATATGAGGGAAACTGGATCTTATGACAGGGAAGTAAAGGTATGGCCATAGGAAGCTGTTCTAAGAAAGTCCTAAAACAGTGGTTCTCAACTCTCTTGCATACTAGAATCACTTAGGAGATTTTTTAAAATCTTGATACCCGGGCCCAACTCTAGACCCATCATCAGCATCTCTCAGGGTGGGGCCAGGCATCAGATTTTCTTTCTTTTTTCTTTTCTTTTTTTTTTTTTTTTAACTCTCCACGTAATTCCAGTGTGGAACCCAGATAGCCAGTACTCTCTAGCTTAGTTCACCTTTTAATGTGTATTCAAAGATTTATTCTGAGCCTGCTATAGGTTAGGCTCTATGTTAGAGACCAAGAGTACTAAGATTAATTGTATACTCCTACACTCTGTCCCAAGGAATATCTTAATGGGAAAAGATCTATAATTGAATACAACGAGCTC
The DNA here is from genome assembly GCF_000001405.40 of Homo sapiens. NCBI lineage: Eukaryota > Metazoa > Chordata > Mammalia > Primates > Hominidae > Homo > Homo sapiens. Next base: position 4,906,970 of record NW_011332701.1, on the reverse strand, counting down.
TTTTTTTTGTTTGTTTTTTGTTTTTTTTTTTTGAGGTGGAGTTTTACCCTCATTGCCCAGGCTGGAGTGCAGTGGTGCGATCTCGGCTCACTGCAACCTCCACCTCCCGGGTTCAAGCAATTCTTCTGCCTCAGCCTCCCAGGTAGCTGGGATTACAGGCGCCCACCACCACACCCGGCCAGTTTTTTGTATTTTTAGTAGACATGGGGTTTCACTATGTTGGCCAGGCTGGTCTCGAACTCCTGACCTCAGGCGATCCACCCGCCTCGGCCTCCCAAAGTGCTGGGATTACAGGCGTGAGCCACCTTGCCCGGCCAATCAGCTCCTGACTTACAGATGAGGTAAAAGTGACAATCAGCTCATCAGCTCCTACTTTACAGATGAGGTAAAAGTAACATTAGGAATAACATCAAATCATGCTTAAGACAAAACCAGCCAAAATATGACACAGATTGAATTTGAAGGAAACATTACCATTCTATTAAAAAAGTTAAGAATATAAAAATATATATACTATTGTAGGAATCTTAAACATTCCCAATACCGTATGGTAGAAAAGTCTACTGTTGAAATAGCTTGTTACAATTATTTCATTACTTAACTCATTTTGTCAAAACAGTCTAGAATTGTGCTGTTCGATGTGGCAAGCACTAGCCACATGTGGCTTTTGAGAAGCTGAAATGTGGCTAATCCAAACTGAGATGTCTTATGAGGGTAAAACACGGGGTTTTGAAAACTCAGCAGAAAAAACATGTCAAATATTTTATTGCTGATTTTTTTTACTGATTGCATGGTAAAGTGATAACATTTTAGATATGTTAAATAAATAAAACGATTAACATTCATTTATAGGTAAGTTAATAAATATGTTAATAACCTGACAAAATATATTAGCTAAATTATATTTCTTCTACTTCTTGAGTGTGGCTACTAGAAAATCTAAATTGTATTAGTGGTTCACATTCTATTTCTATCAGAAAGTGCTAGTCTAGAGGCATGTTCCGTAGGCTTTCCTCAGCTCATTCCTACACTCTCTTCTCATTGTCGCCCTGCCTTCTCAGCTTGAATCCTAAGTTACTGGAATGCAGAGTTTCACAAGCTAGCCCCCTGCCCACTCTGGGCCTGGCCCTTGTTTGGCTCTCAAGTGGGGCTACGTAACCAAAGGAGGTGACAGCATGCTACTTGGTCAGGCTGTTACCTCTACATTTCTGAAATGTATGGTTTAGGGTTTGTGGTTAAGAAATACATTATAGTTCACAGCAGTATGCTATGATGTAGGGGCTGGGTTTTTGCCAAATTGCAGTATATACAAATGGAGTATCTCCTCTCTACTGTGTAGAGTTCCAAATAGTACTTCATTTATTGCGTAGATATTTCACTGATTCGTAGAAAATGTAGGATTTTCCATTTGCCACAGATAGGCACTATTCACCATAGATAATCAAATTTCTATGACAATTGTCATACAGTTTATAGTATTTCATCTAATACGCTATTTATTGTAAGAAATACCACTATTACATGTACTACTAAAAAAGAAAAATTACTGCCATAAGCCACAACATGTAGACTCTTAAGATGTACCCCAATATCAGAGGCTCTAAAACGTGAAAATTCTATCAATTTTGGAGTTGGTGTAATGTGGTACTATAATTAGGCATATAGAATCAGAGAGGAAGAATGCCCAACACTTTTAGGTAAGACTTTCAGCAAAGAAGATATTTTTGTTTAGAGTTGAAAAAACAAAATAATAATGATGGCAATGATAATGTTAATATTTACTGAGTGCTTCTATCTGCTAAATACCATGGGGAACAAATCACCTTTTTACTTAGTCACCATGACAGTCCTTTGAAGTGAGTACTGTTACCGCCCTGCTATACAGATGAGGAAATTGAGGATTAGAAATTCTCAGCAGACAGGCTACAAAGGGCATTCCAGGCAGAGGAAAACACTGCAAGTCTCAGAAGGATGAAAGACATGATGTGTTTGGGAAATGGCAAGCAACTTGGTGTGGCTAGATCACAAGGCAAATGAGAAGAACACAAGACCAAAACGGTGATAAGAGTCACAATATGACTTGCTAAAGAATCTGAACTTTGTCTGACAGGCCGCAGATAATATTGAAAAATAATGTGTACAGGAGTGACATGATCATGTTGGATTTGTTTGCATTGTTTTGGTTTGTGCAATTATTTTGCAGGGGGTATATCTCTTTGCTTTTTGTTGTGGCTGAGAAATATGTTAGTTATAACTAACAGTAATATAAAAAAATATTGGACAAGTAACAGACTAATTAAGAACTTGAGCAAAAGCAATGGCAAAGCCGAGGTAGGAGGATCACTTGAGGCCAGGAGTTTGAAACCAGCCTGGGCAACAAAGTGAGACCCCATCTCTCCAAAAATTAGTTGAAAGTGGTGGCGCCTGTAGTCTCAGCTACTTGGGAGGCTGAGGTGGGAGGATTGCTTGAGCCCAAGAGTTCAAGGCTACAGTGAACTATCATTCTCCGTACTCCAGCCTTAGCAACAGAGCAAGACGCTGTCTCAAAAACAAACAAACAAAGCAATGGCAGTAAAAATAAGAAGGAAAAGACATAATTGTAAACAGTAAAGGGCTGTTTTAGGCATTACAGGACAGGTTAATAAATTGGATGTACAAAATGAAACAGAGGAGAATAGGGTAACTCCTTTTTCTTGCTTGGATAACTGGTTGGATACTGATAAGACTAGATTTGAGATGGAAGACAGTGAGGTCAACTTTAGACAGGTTAACTTTGTACATGTGAGACGCGCAGGTAGAGATGCTGGGCTCATGGGAGAGAGCTAGATGAGACAAAGGTTCAAGTCATAGGAATGAATGAGATAGCCCAAAGAAAAGAGTGTAGAATGAGGCGATACCTGAAGTATCAGAGTATCTGAGCACAGGATATCATATAACAAATGTAACTGAGAAAAGATACTTCTGTACTTCTACAGCACAGCTTATACAGAGTGTTTTGCAAGAAAGCTAATTCTCTATTAGGAGTCTTATCACTTATAAAGTTTTAAGCAATTGTGTTCTGTATGCCTGAGAAGTCACGTGCGTTGTGACTCAGGATTATTTTTATATCAGCTGCAATTCAGCTCTAACAATCATGATGATTTAATTTTTCTTCTGTAAATCATATCCTGTTGCCACACTCAGATGGAGATGATGCGTTTATCCTTATGTCTTTTTCATTCTTCCCTTCTCAGAATGTCCTTATATAGTGTTATTTGACAAAACTGTGGTACTTTTTCTTAATTTCATTTTCTGAGAAGAATTGAATGTAATTTTAATGGCACCACTTGGCGGGGTTGCAAACTCCATGATATCCATGCCTTTTTTCTTACGTGTCTTTTTTCTTTTCCACACTAGGCTCTTGTTGAAGCTGGTTTATAGCTCAGTTCAGAATAACCTTGTGCAGGCATTTTGTGAGCTCCTGCTTTCCCACCCTCAGATCAAACATGGTCATAATGATATGGCCTTCAAAACTGTGATGCTCACATTAAAAGTTCCCATAAACATGGCAGGGATCCTATAATTAAAAGAAGGCGCAGAGCAACTGATTAGATCCCAGGTATAGATCTTGTAGGTGGTCTTTTCATGCTGTTAAATTGGTCATTTGTATTTATAGCTTTGGCAGGGAGGGCTGGAACCTAAACTAGCTCTAATCCCAGCACTCTCCCACACTTGGCCTTATCTCATTCTCCGTTAATTTCGCTTGGCATCCATGAATGGAGCCAAATTCTGAATGATTCTGCATGAACCATTCTAGCCCTAGTCTATGAAACTATTTTCTAAGTTCCTTTGACCAGCTGAGATTAGAGATACTGTTTTTTTTGTTTTGTTTTGTTTTGTCTTGTTTTTTGAGACAGAGTCTTGCTCTGTCACCCAGGCTGTAGTGCAGTGGCGCGATCTTGGCTCACTGCAAGCTCTGCCTCCCGGGTTCACGCCATTCTCCTGCCTCAGCCTCCAAGTAGCTGGGACTACAGGCACCTGCCACCACGCCTGGCTAGATTAGAGATATTCTTAATATCAAAAATTGTTTTAGTTTACCTATGTAACAAACCTTCACATGTACCCCCAAGCCTAAAATAAAAGTTAAAAAAAAGAACTATTTTCTAGTAAAAAATAGATAAATTTACCAGGTTTAAAATAAACAAAAGCAGTAATTCTGATTTTCAACATTGAATGCAAAAGGAATTATATAAATAGATGGGTATTCCATGACAGCTGGGACTGTGTCTGTTTTGTCCTGTTCACTCACTTGTCCCAACATCATATAGGCTCAGCCTGTCCCATGATAGGTGTTAATAAGTGTTTGTTGAATTTATGAACAAACAGCTTGAATTGTGTAATGTACCTAGAGGCTATTTTTTCCTCCTCCTTGGGTTTTCTGTTTAAATCCTTTCAGAATTGCTGAATCATCCCAGAATCTGAAGAGGTACATTTTTGGTCGATAATACATTTCTGTGGTCAGACCTCCTGGATATAGAATCATCTTTCTATGTTGGGCATATGCACGTAATCTATTCTTAGTAAATACTTTGGTCAGATTAGATTGACAAAGGCCATACTTAAATCTCTAAGTTGCAAAATAAGAGCAGGTTATTACATAATCTCTTCACTTCAACCCCCAGAAATAAAGAAACAAAACTATCTGAATCACCATATTCAACCACTAAGGTTACAGAGATCAGGAAAGGTCAGTAATCTGAACAATGTAACCTGTGAGGGAAATAATTCTGACGTCCTTTACAAAGCTTGTGGAAAGAAGAAGTATGGCTAGAGAACATGAACTCTGCCTGAGCCAAAATGGGTTCTTGTATGCTCCACTGCTACTCAAGAAAATACCGACAGGCGTGGTTCCAAAGATCATTAAATGGCCAAGAATTAAGATAATCTCTTGTGACTTCCGGATCACTTAAGTAACAGAACAGTAATCCTTGGAAGATGAAGAAAGCTATTTGGCTAGGCGCAGTGGCTTAAGCCTGTAATCCCTGCACTTTGGGAGGCCAAGGCAGGCGGATCACCTGAGGTCAGGAGTTTGAGACCAGCCTGGCCAACATGGCGAAACCCCATCTCTACTAAAAATACAAAAATTAGCCGGACATGGTGGTGTGCGCCTGTAATCCCAGCTGCTCTGGAGGCTGAGACAGGAGAATCGCTTGAACCCAGGAAGCAGAGGTTGCAGTGAGCTGAGATCATACCACTGCACTGCAGCCTGGGCCACAGTGAGACTCCTCCAAAAAAAAAAATAAAGAAAAGAAAGCTATTTTATCACAGGTCTATTAGGTAGGCTTTTATCTAAAAGGGCTAGAGGGGATTTTTTTCCCAGAAATTCCTGCAAAGAGCGTATGTTTTCCCCCGAAGTCGGTTTCTAATGACTATCCAGTAATGGAGTTGTGAAATTATGGTATTTCCATACATTGGAATACTAAGCATCTTTTTTTAAAAAAAAGTCTGTATGTATTGACCTGGAGGATCCCTAATGTATATGTTTAAGTGGATAAAAGCAAGGGTCAGAAGAGTAGTTATGTTATTATTAGGTATATTATTTTATCATTCAGATAAAGATGAAGCAAAAAATGAATACTACCTAACAGTGAGAACAAATAAGAACTAACCTAAGACTGGCCGGGCGCGGTGGCTCACGCCTATAATCACAGCACTTTGGGAGGCCGAGGCGGGCAGATCACGAGGTCAGGAGACCGAGACCATCCTGGCTAACACGATGAAACCCCGTGTCTACTAAAAATACAAAAAAAAAAAAAAATTAGCTGAGCGTGGTGGCAAGCGCCTGTAGTCCCAGCTACTCAACAGGCTGAGGCAGGAGAATGGCATGAACCCGGGAGGCAGAGCTTGCAGTGAGCCGAGATTGCGCCACTGCACTCCAGCATGGGTGACAGAGTGAGACTCTGTCTCTGAAAAAAAAAAAAAAAAAAAAAAAAAACAAAAGAGAACTAACCCAAGACTGATATTCAGCTGGTCCTCACCATAACACCCATACAGGTTGCCTGTTCTGCTAGTTAGTACCTATGTTATTGTTAAATATTTAGACTATTACTCCTAAAACTAATCAAACAGGTTCATTGCTGCAGCAGGTAGAAAATAGGCAGATGAGGTTCATAGGCGTATGCAGATTTGTTATAAATTTGGGTGTTTTAACCAGTGAATACCTCTTAAAATAGTAAACAAATTTTTTTTGAAAAACAATTTTCTATAGTACTTCGCACTTCACATTTTTCCCTAAGATTCTGCTTCCTATTCATTGCTTCTCCATCATTATACCAACTGGGGTCCCTTAGCCACCTGAACCTAGAATTGGAAACCAAATGGTCTTACTCACAGTCTCATTACTTTCATTGGGTGCTGAACTGGACAACTTAAAAGGAAATCTGAAGGTCCCTTATCAAGCAAGATCTATGAGCTAGTACCTTGGTTTCTTTCCTATGGCTGCCTTCTTCAACATCGCTCTAGATGGCTCTATCTAATGGAAGCCTCCCAGTCAATGAGAAAATGCAAGGAAATGTTTAAAGGCATTGAGAGCTCAAGACAGTCTAATACACACAACACGTGTGCGCGCACACACACGTGCACACACATGAACCTGCTGGAACCCCTCCGTTCTTTCTCCTTGACTTGGATTGACTTCACTTATTTTGCTCATGCTTCCATCATCACTTCAGTTTCAGGCGTCACACTTTTGTGATGTTATTATTAGGTATGTAACGTGAACCCTAATTTACATTATGGTCAAGAAGAGGCCTCTAATATGTAGGGTGTTTTACCTGTTCCTCATATTTTTTTTCTTATTGCCATAATCCTGTTCTTTATTTCATTTGGGCTCTTCATTACACAGGTGCTTCAATGTACACTTTTATGAATATGCCAAAATGAGAGAGTAAAGATCTTCTCTCAGATTACCCCGACACAGACCATCCTTTAAACCTAATCACAAACATAGAACCAAATCTCAGTCATTTATATCTTGAGATCATTGTCAGGATCTGACCTCTTCCGTGGGTATTTGCATTTTAGGCCTTAACTCTAATTTTTTTGTTTGTTTGTTTTTTTGAGATGGAGTCTCGCTTTGTCACCCAGGCTGGAGTGCAGTGGCGCGATCTCAGCTCACTGCACGCTCCGCCTCCCAGGTTCATGCCATTCTTCTGCCTTAGCCTCCCGAGTAGCTGGGACTACAGGTGCCCGCCACTACGCCTGGCTAAGTTTTTGTAATTTTTAGTAGAGACGGGGTTTCACTGCGTTAGCCAGGATGGTCTCGATCTCCTGACCTTGTGATCCGCCCACCTCGGCCTCCTAGAGTGCTGGGATTACAGGCATGAGCCACCACGCCCGGCCTTAACTCTTAGTTTTTTAAAGAGTTTGTCTCCTGTTTTTCTGGAACTCCTGACCTCAAGTGATCCACCCACCCCAGCCTCCCAAAGTGCTGGGATTACAGGCACGAGCCACCACGCCCAGCCTTGTCTTCTGTTTTTAAACACTGTCTCAGAACTACATGCTAGTGGAAGAGAGATGGTAGTGGTTGGGTTTGGAGGTAAGATATTATTTGTCAGATAAGTATCATTAACTCTTACAGGGTCTTTCCTAGAGCAGCAGCAGATATTTACACACACACACACACACCCCTACATCTTTTCAACGTTATGGAACCAGTTTATTTGCTTGCTTTGGTAGAACAGGGGACTATACCTTAAACTGATTTTTACAACTTTGAGTAGGCCCTTAACCATGTAAGAATTGAAGTATTACTAAGGACAACCTCATGATGGTGTTATTGGGTAATCTCCTCATTTCCCTTTCATCATGGCAGAATCCAAGATAGTTTGATGAGACTCTGGAGCTGCAATTGCATTAACCTCTTTCTGATGATTGGAAATGTCCCCAGGTAGAAGTAGAGGATGGAGCCAAGTCAGTCAGCCTCTTTCTTTCTATGTATAGCCCCTTGTGAATTCACCCTTTTCACATTTCATTAGTTTGTTTTGGAAAAACTAGGAGGACATGAACTCATCCTTTTTTATGGTTGCATAGTATTCCATGGTATATATGTACCACATTTTCTTTATCCAGTCTATCATCAATGGGCATTTGGGTTGGTTCCAAGTCTTTGCTATCGTAAATAGTGCTGCAATAAACATACGTGTGCATGCATCTCTATAGCAGAATGATTTATAATCCTTTGGGTATATACCAGTAATGGGATTGCTGGGTCAAATGGCATTTCTGGTTCTAGATCCTTGAGGAATCGCCACACTGTCTTCCACAATGGTTGAACTAATTTACATTCCCACCAACAGTGTAAAAGCATTCCTGTTTCTCTGCAGCCTCACCAGCATCTATTGTTTCTTGACTTTTTAATCGCCATTCTGACTGGTGGGAGATGGTATCTCATTGTGGTTTTGATTTGCATTTCTCTAATGATCAGTGATGTTGAACTTTTTTTCATGTTTGTTGGCCGCATAAATGTCTTGAGAAGTGTTTGTTCATCTCCTTTGCCCACTTTTTGATGGGGTTGTTTCTTGTAAATTTAAGTTCCTTATAGATTCTGGATACTAGGCCTTTGTCATATGGGTAGATTGCAAAAATTTTCTCCCATTCTGTAGGTTGCCTGTTCACTCTGATGCTAGTTTCTTTTGTTGTGCAGAAGCTGTTTAGTTTAATTAGATTAAGCAATACTTTTTTCTACATACATACAACTTTTATTATTTTAGTAAGAATACTTAGCATGAATTCTACCCTCTTTAACAAATTCTTAAGTGTGCAATACAGTCTTATTAACGATAGGCACAATAAAATGTTGTGTTTTTAAGTGTTCTGAATGTAGTGAGAGAGCTTTGTGCTTGAAGTCAGAAGACCTAGGTTTGAACACTGGGTTCACCACTTAACCTTTCTATGTGATTTTGCAAAGGATTTTAAGTTCTTGGGGCCTTTTTTCTTTTCTTGTCTGTAAAATGGGAATAGTAATATCTAGTACACAGTGTCATTATGAAGATGAAATTAGATAACATACATGGGAAACCACCATATAAACTATAAAGCTTTAATAAATACAATGTGTTACATTTAAGGCATTCTTATTGTCCCACTTTGACCCTCTGTGAGAAACACCAATATACTGAAAATTTCCTTCCTGAATTGTTAGTTCTGGTGTGTGTGTTGGGGGGTGATTGGGGAGCATGCTATACTTGACTTCAACAGGTGCATAGCACTTCATTTAATTTTGCAGCAATCCTTTGAAACTGATTTTTTTCATTCCTAACTTTCCAGATAAGAAAACTGAGTCTGAGGGTCTTGGTAACTTACTCAGGGTCAGGGTGAGCTCAATCCCAGCGTTGTTACTGTGCCATCCTACTAACTTAGAGAACCACTTGGTTTCTTTTGAGTCCCAGGACCCTAGGGGTAAATAGAAATAAGCATATTTGTTTCATCATCTAAAGGAGAAAAGTATCAGAATAGTAGATTTGCCTTAACCTTGGGTAACAGCTTAACCTCAAAGATTCCTTTTCTGAGGTCTTAATAGAGGTCCTCTTTTACCTTTCCCAACAATAACAACAAAGTTTCCATTGTAATTAGTAAAGAATTGCAGTGACAAGTATTTAAGTATTTTATGGAATCAGTATTGAGCTCTGCATCTTGCATAATGGTTGTTCTCATGATAAATTGCCTCACGTAATTATTGGCCTAGCCACCACTTTCTCTTTGGATTCTTGACAACTATGGCAAGGTTTTCATCAGTGATTGATCAAAGATGCTATCACAAGACTTCTCTTTGATTTATACAGTTATTGTCTTCTTCATAATGAAAGAGCTTAACACCTGTATTGCCTTCTGGGAGTTATTGTGCATAATACATGTTATATAATACATAGTTTCGCAGACAATGTCCAATTCTGGAAAGATCTTTTCATTCCTTCAAATAATACGGGTATGTTTCTTCTGCTGAGTTCATTTGGCCTTAAATGAGTTGTGGCAGCTCTAGTAGGAACGCAGGACTAATGTATGTGGAGCAGTTAGCTCAGAACCTGGCACTATGTATATCAGCCGCTGCTGTTGTTACGTGATTTTGTCAAATCTTATCAGATGCTTCAGACAGTGGGTCTCAGAAAGTTAATCACAGAAATTTTACTTACCCAATGGTGCGAATAGCAGTGGTTCCAAGTTCAAGTGGCAAATAATTATTTACTACAGAGGACGGCCATAATTTTAGAAGGAAAGTTATGTGCATCTTTTTCATCTCTTCTAAAAATAAGCCAGAAGCAATGAATATAAGCTGGATTTCTGTTAAGACCAGACACTTTATTTTTGTTATATGTATAATTTGAAGATAGTCATGTGTATAATTAGAATAAAAGGTAAGTAGAATTAGCATAAGTTTAAAAGGTACCAGATATGCATGGAACTTTTATAAGGGATTATATTTTTCACAATTAAAATATTTTACATATTTTAAAGTATAATTATTTCTATAATTACATCTTGATGATATAAGGGATGTACATAATTCCATTTAAGAGGGCAGGTCTGATAGATCACACTTCATGGCTACCAAAATCAACAATATTACCACCTAGTGGCTGCTGAATTGAACTGCAAACACATGATCCTTGGGATCCACAAAGACCCTGTCTCAATAGCTAAAAATGATGGAAAAAGATAGTGAACGCCACTATAATTAACAACTTTAATGGGCCTTGATAACTGTTAATCACTGTAACACCCCAGCTCTGCTTTCAAACAGATTGGGAGAATAATGAGAATTTGCTTTTCCATTTATTGAGAAACTGAGCCTTGAAAAAGTCGTGAGCTGAGGCTAGAGAATGTGATTATTTAATTCCTTAATCCTTTTATTAATCTTCTGAATTGAGAAGTAGATCTACCTTTCCCTCCCAGTTTTTTTATTTAAATTTTGATTTATTTATAACATTTTTCAGTGAAAATTAAAAATGTGTATTTGAGTAGATCAGAACTGTTTTAAACAGAGATAAACTGGTTTTCTCGTTAAGGAAATATGCGATGTTAGTTAGTTCATGTGCTTTTATAAATTTAGCAAAACCTGAGTGCTCAACATTTAGAAGTGAAGTGCCAGTCCTGATAGCTCATCCTTACTCCATCTCAGAGTCAGGCATTGAGACCTTTGCTATTTACTACTTCCCCTTTCATCTTAGCATCCACCAACTTGTTGACATTCAAATTATTCATTGAAATAACCAAACCGTCTGCCCACTGAGCTCATTGCACCATCCCATTTCCTTGCTGAAATAAATAAAATGTGGCGTGAGTAATTGTAATATAGTAATTCTAGGGGAGCATAATATATTCAAGTAAGTAATGTAGAAAGCCACTAAAAAGTCTATTTGAAATTGCTCTTCTTCCCAGGAGGGCACTGTTCTCTCTTTAATATATTCTCTTTGGCTTCACGATTCTAGGATTAAGCCTAATTGCTAACATAATATATGTGCGTGATCGTTGCTTTCTTTAACTTAAGCTTCCTCTGGCATTGGTTTCTAGTTTGTAGTCATGACTGTGGCATTAATTGTAATTGGTCTGAGCTTCATGTGAAATAGGTTCCAGCGTGTTGACAGCAATTAATGGAGCTCCATAGTCCTGGGTAAGATTCAAGGGGTGGGTTTTGCATCTCTTTCAAATTGTTTTCTCATTGTTTCTGTTGTTGTCTCCTGGGAGACTATAATAAACAGGCTGGCTTTAGAATTGCACAAATCTGAGTTCAAATCTCTCCCCTACCTTTCTTTCTTTTTTTTTTTTCTCTTTTTGAGACAGAGTTTCGCTCTTGTTGCCCAGGCTAGAGTGCAATGGTGTGATCTCGGCTCACCACAACCTCTGCTTCCTGAGTTCAGGCGATTCTCCTGGCTCAGCCTCCCAAGTAGCTGGGATTACAGGCATGTGCCACCATGCCCGGCTAATTTCTTGTATTTTTAGTAGAGACAGGGTTTCTCCATGTTGGCCAGGATGGCCCCGATCTCCCGACCTCAGGTGATCTGCCCGCCTTGGCCTCCCAAAGTGTTAGGATTACAGGTGTGAGCCACCATGCCTGGCCCTCTCCCCTACCTTTCTGAGCTTGGGAAGCTTACTTCCTCAAAAAAAAAAAAAAAGCTGAGGTTCCCTCATCTCAAAGACAGAGGTAGTAATACCACCACCATAAGGTTATTGTGCCCATCAAACTTGCTAAAAAATGTCAGCCGTTTGACTATGGGTCTTTCTTTCATACTAGTACAGATAAACTTTTTCAAACTTTTACGTATTATTAGTTTAGGGCTTTCTGTGTTCTAGGCACTGTGCTGCATGTTATGAATACAATGATGAGCAAAAGGAACACAGTCTTTGCCTCTGGAACTTATATTTGCCAGTGGATATTTTATAATTATAGCCGATTGGTAATAGGAATCCACAGTGCATAACCAACCATCTCAAAACTTAGTAGGCTACAACAATGTATGCCTATCTCTCACAGTTTAATGAGTTGATTAGACTTAACTGGCTAGTTCTTGCTTCAGGTCTCCTGTGAAGTTGGAGTTAGATTATGGCTGGAATTGAAATCATCTGTAGGCTGCAGAGCCTCGGCTCGGGTGGATGGAGGGTGGGGCTTGGCTGGGCATCTCTGAGAGCCCGTGCAGTCACTCCACATGGCTTGCGCTTTCTCATAGCATGGTGGTCTCGCAGTAGTTAGCCTTCTTACATAGTTACTGGCTTTTTCCTGAGCAAATGTTCCAAGGAAAAGAAATTAGAAATTTCCTATCCTCTCAAACACTGGGAATGAAACATCACGTCACTGTTGTTCAGAGAAGTCACAGTCCAGTCCAGTTTTAAGGGAGTGAATAGACGCCACCGTTCAACTAGAGAACAGCACAAACATGCAGGGAAGGAAAGAGCTGATGATGGACATCTTGGAGACAAGCTACCACGGTGTCCTAATTGATCGTTCCTCAGATTTGTGTCTCTCGATATCTGGACTCTTAACTAGTGGGCTTTTTTACTTGACTTAGTCCATCAAGATTTATAAAACTGACCATTTGTGCTTGCCCTAGGAAAATGGATTGTATAATCTTTAAGTGTGAGATAAATAGCAAAATACATATCTGTTCTGGTTCTCGTAACTCCTTCAGGATGGATGGTATTTCCAGGAAACAGGATTTTCTCATTCTCCTGAATCACTCTCTGTGTTACTACACAGAAGGAAATATACAGCTTCATAAATACTAGCCTCACGAACCCAGTTCCACAAAGCGATTCACATGTTACATGCCTACTGAAACACACAAGAACCATCACATCAGCCAGAATATATTTCCTAGGACTTTAATATAAAGTCCCATTTGCTGCAGTTTTCTACTCCGCTTCTTCTGAGATGGAGTGATGGAATGTGTAGAAATAGTTAAAAGCCATTTCTAAATCAACATTGAAAATATTTTTTTCAATTAGTTTATCTACCAATGTTATGTTCCCAAAAATATAGATAAGAAACCAGAATCTGGAATTTATATTAAAGTTCATGAGTTTTGATTACATGTTCCAGGTGGATCAATCTGAAATACAAGCCTTACTTTAAAATAATGGAATGATTCCCTTGGATATATGAGACTTCTTCTCCAGGGACACACTACATATACTCTGAGATTAAAACACTGTGTGTTTTGTCTCTCTATATTTCTCAAACATATTAAATGGACAATATCCAAGAGGCATCTAAGAAGGAATAAGCTAGAAAAGTAGCCTGTATTGTTTCCCACGAACTGTGATGATCCAACCCAAGATCAATGAGCTGTCAGAAAAAGTGGGGGAGAAGTTCCAAGCAAAAATATCTAAAGTAATAGCCAAGGGGATAAAGAAAACCACTGGCTGGATAAACGGTGATAAATGCTGGTGGTTTGTTTGTTTTTAAATTTTGTTTCTGTCTGTAAGTCCCTCTTTCTGTGTAATACAAACTCTTGTACTGTGTGACACTCCTGTGTCTATCTTTCAAAGACTGGGGAGGGTGGAATGAGCAATTATCTGTTCTTCTTTAAACAACGATTCTCCCACTGTTTAGAATTTAAACAGTGTGTGCACATTTTCTTTTCGGTATTTCAGTTGTCCACAGTTACAGTCCACTCAATGTTCTGTACAAATGGGGCATGATGACCCACTGGCACAGCTTCCTCTCATGTTTGTACCATTTCCATACCCTCCCCTCCCTCCTGGACACCTGTGCTAATCATCCAAGGACTGCCTCCCACCCACACGACTGCCTGTCCTCATCTTTGCCTCCTTGGCACTGAACGAAATAGCCAAGCTTCTGAGATCCCTGGAACTTGCCTGTGTGTGGAATCCCACATGCTCTAAAATGCCTTTCACACAGCTACTCTGTTTTTGAAGCAAAGTGATTTTAGTCATTTGTACGCAGTTATGTGCAGAGATGAGAGGTTTTGGGCATGCTGTTAGGTCCTCGGTAGTATCTTGAATGTGCTGATACCGGGTGATTACAATCTTCTAGTAGTGAGAAGGGAAAAATAGAGCTGCGTGGAGCTAGATATTCAAATAATATCATATCATGGCTCCTCCTGGGAATATGATCATCCTTGAAGTGACTTAGTCCTCACTCCTCTCCAGAAAAAAAGCCATTTCTTCCTCCAGCTTTCTCTGCCCTCTCACCACCACAGCCCCTTTGGTCTGGTTAAATCTGAGCCACACAGATGCTCACTAAGGGCTAAAACAACAGTGGCAAGAGGAGGCCAAGTTAATGGGTGAGCAGCACCCTAGACTGGGAGTGCTGAGTTTCGCCCACAGACCTCAAGCTGCCCCCAGCCCATTCTGCTTTGGATTTCAGGGCTGCAGCTCTCCTCCCGGGGAGGATTCATCACTTCTTAGGTTTGTTCAACACTAGTTTCTTATGTTGCCAATATGTGGCTCTGCAAATAAATGCTCACAGGGAAAAATCGGAAATTGGTCTTATTGACTTAGCGGTGTAGATCTCCCTCCCATCAAGTATACAGTTCTTCAGTGTACCTGTAGTTAGTTCTGGATAATTATAAGCAAATTAACAAGGATTTTTTACATTGTTGTTTCCCATTTCATGACTAAGTTGCTGCCATTAGCACCATACCTGTGAGCTAAGCAGTGGGGAGGTTGATTTTTTTTTTTTCAAGCCTAATCTTATTTTGAGGAGAAATCGGTTCTCAAGAGAATCTTCTCTCTCAATCCTACTTCCAGGACACTGATGGGTGCAAGCCATTATTGATTTCCACAGTCTGTCAAGAGTATAAATGAGAAGTCTGAGTCTCTTGTCTCAAGAAGCCAAGCTTCTGATGTAGGCAGATAAAAGAAACTATGTTTGGAGTAGCTTATCATCATTAACAACCATAAGCATTTCCTGGCTAATGGCTCTTCACATGTAAAGTGCCCTGCTGTGGAATCCGGGGGCTTCAGGTCCCTTGTGCTCAAGTTGTTTACAGTCCAGTCTACGAGACAAGCAGAACACTAAAATGGGAACTAGTGTAGCAAATGCCAAGCATCCAGTGAAGTCTGAAAGGGCTAGAAGTTCACCTGAACACAGTTGTCCTTGCTGCCAACGCCTGAAGGGTGGGTTGGTGCTGACGCTCCGTGGTTGAGACTTTTACGTGAATGGTTCAAAATGTCCTGTCCTCAGGGAGAGGGGTTCCAGTTCTGCTGGGAGTGGGTGGGCAGGGTGCAGAAAGCGGTAGACCCGAAGCTGCCTGTGAGAAGCCAGCCGCTGGAACCCATCTTTGCTTGGCTTGCTGGTCCTTGGCTTTGATCTGGGGGCACTTTCTCATGAGAGTTCTTCCTAGTCCTCCTCTGTCCCATGTGACAGGCTCCTCCCAGTTTGGTCCCGTTTCAAGGGAAATGAGCCGTTTGTCCAGTCACCATCTCTGGGCTGTGTAAACAAGCAGATGGGCAATTAGTGGCTGTGTCAGGGCCTTGGACTGCTGCTGTGCTTGCACAAATGGAGACTCATCACTCATCTTTTGGACTATCGTCGTGCAAGCATGAGATAATGGGGACTGCTGGGCTCTCGAGATTTCTTCATGTTGTTTAGATTTCAGTCTTCGTGTCACAATCCTATTGTTCAAGCGTTCTGGCAACAGCCACTGTCATTCAGCTCATTTGGGAGAAAAAATAATAATTTGGATTCTGTTGCCTTGATTTTTTTCTCATTAAACCATTTTTTAACGAGCAGGAAGTAGGACCAAGGCATAGAGATCTGTAGGGTAATATCTTTCCTTAATTAGCCAAATGCTGACAACAGAGGTCACCCAGTTGCAGGAGATTTTTGCCCTCCCGCTTTAAGCGGGGCTTTAAGCGGGCATGTGTGTTGTACACACAGGCTGGAGGCCAGGAGAGGACAGAGCCTGCAGTCAGGTCACTCGTAACCCCACGGCTGCTGCTGTTTGTGTTTACTTGAGCATTTCACTGCGCCTGCTATGTTTTCCTCTTGGATCCAGAATGCCAAGAGGGTCCCTTCAATCTGCCATTTATCTCCTCTTGAGATGCACAGAAATCGGGCACCAGTTGCTCAGTCTCCAGACTGTTCTCAGCATCAGACAATGGCCCTGTGTTTCCTTTGCTCTTTTTCCATACATTGGCCTCACCTCTCCGATTTTTTTTCTTTCTCCCCTTCCGCTTTTAATTTTTTCTCTCTTACCTCGGTTTGAGCGTCTGCCTTCTTTCATAGCTTTCTGTTTTCTCTCAGCATCTCCTCCACCCCCTTATGTTTTCAGTTTCTTGTGACTCGCTCTCCAGATTCCTTCATATTCAGGAATCACTGTCTTTGCCCAACATTGTTGTGAACGTGCCGGCCTTTTATTGTGGTTGTTCATCCCTTTCCCTCTTGCCTTCATTGCTCCCCGAGCCCTCCACCTCAGCCTCCTAAAACCTTTGAAGTTCTTCAGACTGGAAGTGTCTCTGGATCATGCTACATAAATGAGGCAATAGCACTTGGGATCCATTCAGCATGAGGACTGTGGAAATGATAGTCTTTCTCCCATTTTGCCCTAGGATGGGCATCTGTTGATGGGCAAGGAATTAACAGAGAGCACATCCCATTCTCTGTGACCAATCACTACTATTCTTTTTCAGTTGTTCATTCAGCATTTATAAGTTATCTACTATATGTGAGACTCTGAGGAAAAAAAGAAGAATCAGACACTATTCCAGTCTAAAAGACCCTATATATCTGACGCAAAATCTTACTCCACCTTTCAGGAGCATTAGATATAGCTGATCAAATGATGGATTGAAAACTCCTCCTTGCTTTAGGTCCTAACCCTCTTTTGTCTTCTCTCTACTTCATGGGCATTCCTCAATCTCCTAAGCTGGTTCTTCATCTTCCCAATCTCTAAACACAAGAGGGCTTCAGGACTCAGTCCATGAACCCCTTGCCTTATCACTGGGGTTGCTGAGGTGCATAGAACCTTGAGACTTTCTGATGGATCAAGCATATAATAAAGAGACTGAGGGAGACAAGAGAAGTCACTGTCGCCAGAGTTAGATTCACTGCCACCGCCACCCCCAGGAGCCGCCAGAACCCTTATGTCGCCACCACCACCCAGATCCCTGCACCATGACATCAGAGAAGACCTTCAGGCCACACCACACCTTTGAACAAAGAGTAGAAGTTTGACTTCTCCGAGAGCAGCATCCACCCAAAATCTTGGTAGTAACAGAACGATACAAGGCTGAGAAGCAGCTTCCCGTCCTGGATAAAGCAATGTTCCTTGTACTGGACCACATCAACCTGAGTGAGCTCATCAAGATCATTAGAAGGTCCTTCCAGCTCAGTGCTAATCAAGCCTTCCTCCTGGCGGTGAACAGACACAGCATTGTAGCAGAGTGAGAAGGATGAAGATGGATTCCTGTACATGGTCTGTGTCTCCCAGGAGACAATTGGAATGAAATTGTCAGTGTAAAACTGAAAAAAAAAAAATGCATCTATTTTAGAATTTTTAAACCTTTACCAAGGAAAAAATAAAGGAATGTTACCCACTGAGATCGATCAGTTCATCTAATCACAGATCGTCAAACAGTAGTGTTCCCACCTAGGAGTGTCAGGAAGTTGTGTTTGTATTTGAAGCAGAAAACTGGGCTCCAAGTGAGCACGTTCAGCTTTGGAAACTATGTTATTTAACATAGGCTAGCTTGTTTTCAGATTTTAAAAGTTTAAAAAGAAAATACTTTGCATTCTAAAAAAAAAGAGAGAGACTGAGGGAGATGTATGCTCAAGCAATGGGTGTATCCTCTTGTTCTTCACCAAACAAGGGGAAAGTTTTACATTCATTTACATTCATTTTACAAGTTTGTAAGACATATACAGCTTAGGGAGAAAAATATGAAGGCCTCGGTTCTGGGGAGAAAGCATGCGGGCATTTGTAGTACTGAGACTAAAAGTAAGGGGAGAAAGAGTTGCTGAGGTAAAGCTAAGTTAGAATATGAATTATTGCTACTATAAATGACACTAAATAGAACCTGTGAAAAAGGAGAAAATGTGAACTATACTATCCTCCTAAATAAAAGTAAATTATGATACCAAAAGCTTTTAAAAGTTTTGCCATTCCCAAACCGCCATGCAGTTGGCTTTGTGACTTTGGACATTCTCAGAGGGAAGGCATCACCTTTTAGAGTTTGTGAATTTGAATGAGTTTGGGTTTGTTTGGAAGCAGAGCTACATCAGAAATCTAGTCCCTTTCTTCCTAAAAGCACAAGGCTGCTAGTGAGCAGCCTTGTAATCCCAGCTGTGAGCAGTCGCTCACACCTGTAATCTCAGGACTTTGGGAGGCTAAAGTGGGAGGATCACCTGAGGCCAGGAGTTCAAGACGAGCCTGGGCAACATAGGGAGGCCACATCCTACAAAAAATTTTAAAAACTGGCTGGGCCATGATAGCATGCATCTGTAGTCCCAGGTACAGAGAGGCTGAGGTGGGAGGAACACTTGAGCCCAGAAGATTGAGGCTGCAGCGAGCCATGATCATGCCACTGCACTCCGGCCTGGGTAACAGAGTGAGAACCTGTCTCAAAAAAATAATAATAATAAAATAAAAACAGAAAAAGAAGAACAGTGTGAAAGATAATGCATGAAAAGCTCTTTCTTTCTTATTTTCATGACTTTACAAGCTTCACTTTCTGCCTTCCCATTTTGTACCACACAGACATTTACCACTGGGAATCTTCCTTGTCTGTGTCCCAAGGTTATCTGAACACCAAAGTTACACTTAAGAAGGAAAGGTTGTCAACTCAGGAGGATTGAAATAGAATTCCCTTGGAATCACCCCATAACATCTATTTGAAAACAAACCCTTCCAAACCATCACATCATGGAAATCACAGTCCATGGTGAGAAAACTGCCAAGTTTTTGAGGTTGCAACTTAGAACACACACCAAAAAAGTGTGTCTTCATCTCCAAGCATCTTTGGTTTGGAAATTGGGATAATAGGGCATCTGATCAGGCTTCCTCAAAGAATATCCAGTATTTTCCCGGCTTCCGGCAGCAGAAACCTGGTTGGTGGTCTAAGCCAGGAAGAAAAAGATATTTCACTTTGGAAGAGGAAAATAATTCTAAGTTTATTTTTTTAGAGCCACGATTTAGAAAAAATAATAAAATAAGAGATGCCTCGTATTTAAAATCAGTTTTCATTGTATCTGAATAGTCTGCTTTCCCTTGTTCATGAGTATCTGTGATTACGTGGTCAGGCCTGACACGTATCCCAGCTAGGCTGGGTGACATCCCTGTGTCCTGCCCTCTCCTCCAGCTCTTCCTCATGGGCCTGCTCACTAGCAGCCTTGTGCTTTTAGGTAGAAAGGGACTGGATTTTCTGATGTTGCTCTGCTTCCAAACAAACCCAAACTAATTTAAATTCACAAACTCTAACAAAGGTGATGCCTTCCCTCTGAGAGTATCCAAAGCCACAAAGCCAAACTGCAATGGCAGTTTCAGAACAGCAAGACTTTTAAAAGCTTTGGTGTCATAATGTTATCATTTTGAAGGGTTCACCTGAATAAAAGCCTTAGATTTCTCTGTGTGGTGAATATGAAGCACCCATTCTAAAATTAACCAAGGTGATCAGAGGGAACTAGGGCTTCTCCCCTTTAAACAGTGATTCTGTTTTCAAGATCAGTGGAAATAAGAAAAAGATGGAAAACTATTTGTTCAAAGAAAGGTACTACCTAGATTACCTTTATTTTCTCACTTCTTGCTGCTGCTGCCTTGTCTTAGGGAAAAATTGCTGAAAATAATAACGGTGGGAGTAAGAGAAGGCTAAAAGGGAGATGAGTTTCAGCCACATTTGGAGAAAGGAAGAATTAGATGAACAGAGCTTGGATGATGGCAGTCGGTTTCTTTGTTTGGAGGAACTATTAATAGTCTTGATTTAGCCCTTGAGCTCCTGTTTTCTGTCTTTTGTTTGTGTTTTATCTGTCTGATTTTTTCCTCCTTGAGGCAGCTTGAAATGTGAAAGGGCAAGGGAACAGAGCTAACGTAGGGTGGAAACATGGTTATATGTAATTAAGGTCTTACTTCCTCAATTTGCTACTACTGAAGCCCAAGGGAGACCAAGTTCTGTTCCACACACCATGTGAGAGGAAGAGGTTGACTAAGATGAGCTAGGCAGTTTTATCAGCTTGTTGGTCAAGGGATGTAGGATCCTGAGATGGATTCAATATTTTGGTTGATATTAACAGAAATATAATTTTTAATTTTTTCCCGAAGAACCAGACAGAAGTTTAAGAAAAGAGTTTACCATCCAAGAATTTAATTTGCTTTTCATCAGAGTATGACAAAACAGGCATGCTAGGGTCCAGCCTCAACTAACCCAAGTTGGTGAAAGGAAACAGAACTGAATTGGAAATAAATGCCAGGAGGTTCTGAGAATCAGAAAAAATGATGAGAAGGGTCAGGGTGAAGATGACAAAGGGCGATGGTTCTCAAAATCCTGCTGCAGTGTGAGAAGTAGCTGCCTTTTAGTGTAAGGTCTGGGCTTATGGAGGAACCCAAGAGAGTAAGAATGGAGTCAGCAAATTCATATTTAAATGAATATGCCCACATTCCTTTGCCCTATTGATTCCAGAAGTTGAAATTGTGGCCTTTAATGTGTTTAAGCCCTTAGATCATTTGCTAAGAGTTCAGGGGGAAAAAAGCAGCTGGTTCATCTCTGGTATTTTCAGATGGGTTTTCTTTACAGAAGTTACTCATAAGTGGTATTTTCAATGGAGACCTTCAGAAAAAAGATGCTTGGATATCTCATCAGGTTTCAGAGAAGTGTTCAGACTTGTTAACCCTTTTAACTCAGCTAAATGTCCATTAAACCATAAAACAAAGTCCATTACACTTTTGGGCCGGGGACTTGAGTGACTGACTCACTCACCCTGGGATGTTGCTCATCTCCTGTATGGACTAATATTGGGGCTTATTAGATCATGGGGGTCAGAAGGCTCACTTCCTCTGTGCTTGGATGCTGGGGCTGTTTTGATGCTAGTTGGCTTTCTGTGGGTCTTCTCCCTTATCAGTAGAGGATACACCCCACTTCTCCAGATGAGTCCCTTATAAAACAGCTGCTGCTTCATAAGACATTCCCTTAACCCAAGCCCTTTCCTCCCTATCAGTTACACTAATTGCAGATCAAAACCATTTCCCCCCACCTCCCATTACGTATTTTCTACTTATCCTCTAAGAAAAGAATTACAGGTTAGGATTACTCTAGAAGTGGTAGCTGTCAGTAGAGGAATGACATCCTAAAATATGACCATTAGAGACAAGAAGAAATTAGAAAGCTAGCATGCAGTGGGCATTTAATAAACAGCTGCTGGGAGTGGTGGCGGTGGAGAAGAGCAGAGCAGAGGAGGAGGGGAGAAAGGAGGAGTTGTAAAGTGGGAAAAAGGAGCTAACACTTTAGAAGGACAAAATGGCGGCAAAAAAGTCTGTCCCTTGGTTTTCTCCCATTGACAAATCTAAGACTGATGATGTCTACCCTACTTCCTACCTCTCACAAAACAACATTAGAAGGCAACATATTTAGGTAACCCGGGGTCATAAAGGAGAGTTGAAATAGAAGCTTCAGCAAATAACCCCCGTATCATCAGGCCTTGGATTATCAGCAATTCCAAGCACTACCTGAGTCTCCATCTCAAAAAGCTCTTCCTTCTGCTGGCTGGAGTGCAGTGGCGCGATCTCAGCTCACTGCAACCTCCACCTCCCGGGTTCAAGCGATTCCCCTGCCTCAGTCTCCCAAGTAGCTGGGATTACAGGCACTCACCACCATGTCTGGCTAATTTTTTGTATTTTAGTAGAGACAGGGTTTCACCATGTTGGCCAAGATGATCTTGATCTCCTGACTTCATGATCTGCCCGCCTCGGCCTCCCAAAGTGCTGGGATTACAGGTGTGAGCCACCGCACCCAGCCCCCTCTGCCTTGAAAATACTCACAGCATCATCTCAACAGCCAATACACTGAAACCCCTCTCCACACTGAAGCACAGTTGTCTGTGAAGAAAAATTAGGGAAGCCATAGAGGAACAATAGCTCCTTTGCAAATTACAGCTTCATCAGAAGGAAAGTTGAGGCAGGCATATAGTATTTTATTTTATACACCACAAACAGACAACCCCTAGACTTGGAATTCAGAATTAACAAAAGCATTAAATCCATCGGGCTTTGAGAAGGGTCAATGTTTTTTCATATGTCTTCCCTGCTACCATTATTTGCATAACAAATC
Organism: Homo sapiens; assembly: GCF_000001405.40. Taxonomy (NCBI): domain Eukaryota; kingdom Metazoa; phylum Chordata; class Mammalia; order Primates; family Hominidae; genus Homo; species Homo sapiens. The sequence continues at coordinate 4,884,218 of NW_011332701.1, read as the reverse complement.
GCTGCAAAATGCATTCATGTCAGATGTTGGAAATAAACTCTTTGGGGTATAGCTATTTTTAAACAACCCATAGTTATACGGGTGTTTTTAAAACATTCAAAGCCTGAGTTTGTGTTTCAAATCATAAGTGATCACAGGAACTCTATATTGTTGGTCTGGTGCTGACCTACAGAACAGAGTCTGAAGTCCCTCAGAAATGATGATGTTTTAAAGAGTTACAAAAGTTCACATTGGCTGTAGATTAAAGCCCTGTATTTCTAGGCAGGTACACAGAAATCCCTGGTGCCAGTTTCTACCTCCACTTTGGAGAGCATTGAACTTTCTTTGCAAATATTCAAAATACTTCCCCACCAGAAGATTTTACTTACTGACACCGGGAACAGGCATCCCCACCCACATTCTTCATCCTTAAGAATCAGAAGTTAGAAAAAAAAAAAAAAAGGCTGCATTCTTTGAGATTATTTGCATGAGTGGATTATTTGTGTCAGTCTCTGAGAGATTATCTTCATAGTCTCTAGTCTACTTGTCCAAGCTTACTATTCCCACAAAAGATTTTTCCTGTGGTCTAGGGAGTCTCATGATTGCCTCCCTGGACCTATGCAATACCAACCTCCCCACCCCACACACACTTTCCTCCCCTGCAGCCTCTGCAAAGCCCTGGCTCCTGGGGCTCCTTGAGCTTGGACTGCCAGCTCCACTTCCCGTGTTCTAGGCAAGCAGCAAATACCCTTCAAAACTGCCATCAAGCCCCACCTGTTTTATAAAAACTTCCCAAGCTTCCATGATATGTGCGTTATATTATTAGCAACGGTATTAGCCAGGTGCCTGTATTCCCAGCTACTCGGGAGGCTGAAGCAGGAGAATCACTTGAATCCAGGAGGTGGAGGTTGCAGTAGCCGAGATCATACCACTGCACTCCAGCCTGGTTGACACAGCGAAACCCTGTCTCAAAAAAAAAAAGTAAAAATAATATTAGCTAACATTTATTTAATACTCTCAGCCAAGTTTGATACTAAGTAATATCTCATTTCTCATTGAATAAAAAAACCCTTGAGGAAAGCACTATTATTATCTCCATTTTACAAAGGAGGAAATTGAACTCAGATGGGCTGGATCTATGTGACTTAAAGGAGGACCTCAATCAGGACAGGTTAAGAATCCAGCATGGGGGTTTGGTGCCTTGGACTAGAGTGGTTGAGTAAGTGGCGGGAGATTATAGTGGTGGGGGGTGTTTGGAGGATACAAACCACTAGACTTTTTGGTGGCTTGGATCCTGCCCTCCCGATCTGAAAGGTTACATTTCATCCCGTCTTTAGATGTCATTTGCACTACTTGAACACTCCCCAGGGCCCTCGCTGCTCCTACCCCTAATTGATTTCCACCTTTCTTCATATGTGAGTTCACATGATGACGTCTCCTCGGACAGGGAGGGCTTTTCTTACATATACTCCTGGGAAAATTAGGTTTCTACTCAATAATATAACTGCCCCTCTTTCTGTTACCTCTGTGGCACTTCTTTCAATTTTTAAATATTTGAGAAATTACTTAGCTGATACGAGAGGGAAGATGTCTATTTCACACTTTATTTATAGTATCCTCTTTACTTACCATGCAGTGGTACTCAGTGAAATACAGGTTGAAGCTGTCCAAAAAAGGAAAGAATTTAAAGGAGTTCCTCCTCATTTAGATCATAAATGGAATGGAATTCCTTCATAAAAGCAAATTCATCTAGAGGTGAAAACAGGACTCAAAAAGGAAAATTAAACTATTTCAACCACTATCTCACCAAAAGAACAACTCCAAAAATGTGATCTGGAGGGAAAAACAATCAAACTAATGAAGAAGAGAAGACAATGAGTCAGGAGTGACTATCCCTTACAATAGGGGTGATTATTTTTAAAAATCTGTCTTTATCTAATGGTCAGTGGCACTCAGTTATATGGCCAGACACAAGAATTAGAAGATTTTAATCTCCTGTCATTTGTTATTTCATATCCAATAACTTCATTTACTTTTTTTTTTTTACTTTATTTTTGGTCTTTGGCCTTCCAGATCCCCCAAATTTTGGATAGCCTGAATGTGGGATGATCCTGTATTCAGAGAAGTGAATTTCCCTTCACTAGTCCATTTGCTTTTAAAAATAAAGAAGACATTAAAATGAGTTGCAGATATAAGTAATCCTTATTTAGTTATTTTGCTTTCTCAACCAGCATAAGGTCTCTACATAAGGACAAAATTTGGATTCAGTACCTCCTAACTCTGCCACGTGGGAGAAATGTGTCCCCCCTCATTTCTGTGTGGGTATTTGTCTAAATCTTGTCTCCCTTCCCACTACTGAGGTCTCACAACTTGAAGAGTTCTATCTAGATATAGAACATGGTTATATATGCTGGTAACAAAATAGTTGTAACTATTTTCCTCACTCACGAATCTTACCCTTTAAACAGGTAAAAGAGTGATTTACATGGATTGGCAGGAGTCAGAGAATCCTTATTGCTTTTGTAAGCTGAGACAATATGCCCAGTCCATACCAACACCAAATAAGGTATCTTGGAATGTGATTGCATCCATATGCTTTCAGCTCATGCAATATAGGCACAGAGAACCAATTTTAGGAAACTGGCCTCAAAGGAAGGCACGGGCTCTTGATTAGATTCCCACCATTCTACTCCAGCAGCCACATATAGAGCCCTTAATATTAATTTTAATGTAAGTTGGAGGAAATTTTCCAATCTTTGAAAACTATCTTTCACCCCCCTCTCCTGGGGGCCTGTGTTATTCACCAGCTAGAAACACTAGCAGCTGGAAGCAGAAGATGGCTTGTCTAGTCCTCCTGGATGCATGCATTTAAAGAGCTGTAAGGTTGACAGAACTTTCGCCGGAGCGCATGTTTTTAACTTAGTAGGAATAATAGCTTGGTCTCATAAACTGTTGTGCCATCTTAGATTATATATTGCATGGCAAATTTTTGTTATTGGGTATTTGTCTAGTTACATCAATATTAACTAGAGTAGACCTTGAGAAAGCAGAGAAGGAAATTTTGCTTCATTTGGGCTGGAGTTTTGCTATCCAGTTTCTGAGTTCTTGCACATTGCATTTTGAGTCTGTCACCAAATGACCTGCCTCTTGCTCCAAGTAAACAAATACTGACATTCTTGCCATCCACCAGTGTCTTTCCTCTAGGGGATGACAAAACATTCGATGTGTAGCAAATATACATAGGTGCCAGCAGATAAAGAGTTTTGCCTTAGGTCATCTACCAGGAAATATTATATTTTACCTACCTATCTCCCTGTTCACTGGGAGGAATTCTGAAATCCTTAAGTAAAAGACGTTGAAACTACTAACGTGTTCCTTTGTTGTATCAATATTTCTAGTAGTCGGAATGTATGCTTTCTATTCCCAGTAATTTTATTAGGTTACTAAAAAAATATGATTTGGTTAAGAGGGAACATGAGCCAAGTGGTAGGGCTAAATCCCTTCTTCTGTCTGAGTCGTGACAATATTTTAACCGCAAATGTTTATCTTTCATCCTCAGGGGAGATGAGTAGCCTCTTTTTTGAATCATCCTCTGCAGAGTGCAGTAGATGCAAAGCAGTACTATTATCCAAATTGTTAGCTCTTACAGCCAAGCTAGAGTCTATTCACTGTTACAAAAACCCAGTGAGAAAAAAAAAAAACATGCTGAATGATAAAGAATTACAAAATCACATTTCAATTAGCTCCATTAATTTGGAAAATGGAATTTCCCTTTGTACGACTTGGAGTAATCAAAATTTACCAAATTAAGAAGAAATTCTGACATTCTGCACTACAGAAAGGATGAACCATATTGGGCTTACCATTCTGCATCCTAATTTTTAATATCTATTGATGTTGATACATATGGATCTAATTACTTTGTCTCTTTTTGAAACAGAGTCTTGCTCTGTTGCCCAGGCTGGAGTGCAGTGGTGCAATCTGGGCTCACTGCAACCTCCGCCTCCTGAGTTCAAACGATTCTCCTGCTTCAGCCTCCCACGTAGCTGGGATTACAGGTACCTGCTACCATGCCGGCTAATTTTTGTATTTCACCATGTTGGTCAGGCTGGTTTCAAACTCCCAACCTCAAGTGATCCACCTGCCTTGGCCTTCCAAAGTGCTGGGATTACAGGCATGAGCCACCACACCCAGCCTGGGTCCGATTCCTTTTAACCACTATACATTATTCAGTTGTGTGAATAAACCATGTTTTTCTTTATCCATACCTCTTTCACTTCATGTTCTTAAGTTAGTCACATCATTCTGGACCTCTGCTATAAAGGAGAGCCAGCAATCTGTATGTCCTTTTTTTTTTTTTCTTGAGACGGAGTCTTGCTCTGTCACCCAGGCTGGAGTGCAGTGGCGCAATCTCCGCTCACTGCAAGCTCCACCTCCTGGACTCACGCCATTCTCCTGCCTCAGCCTCCCGAGTAGCTGGGACTACAGGTGCCCGCCACCACGCCAGGCTAATTTCTTTTTGTATTTTTAGTAGCGACGGATGTTAGCCAGGATGGTCTCGATCTCCTGACCTGATGATCCACCTGTCTCGGCCTCCCAGAGTGCTGGGATTACAGGCATGAGCCACCGCGTCCGGCCTGTATGTCCTTTCTTCATTGGGTCGTTAAAAAGATGAACAAGACAATAATGTGAAATGATTATAACTCTTTTGTTAGAAAGTGGTACAAACATGAAAACTAATGCTATTTTCTTATATGTTATGATTTTCATCTAGAACGACAAGATTCCTTGATCATTCTTTGTTTTATTTAAGTGAATAGTAGGTAATAATCCATTTGTGAAAGTGATGGGAATGTAAAATTAGACAAATGTGATTAGCTGGGCCTTACCGCCACAAACTCTGCTCAAGATAATGCTGCCGAGACCCAAAGACAATCATTTTGTTGCTCATAAATGACAGTTTAAGCTGGTGAGTGGCTGAGGTCCAGCATTCTCCTTGGTTCCTAGATGGACGGTAAAGCTGCTTGGACCATAATTTTCCATCTTTCTTCTTGGAAAGAGTGACTGGAGGCCACTCAGTAAAGTGAACCTTGGAAATAAGACTTCTGTCTCACACAACCTGTTCATGAAAGGGAGCTATAAAAATAAACGCATATTCAGAGCCTAATGGAGACGTGGCAACAGGCCTGAGGACATGCCATCCCTGAATCCCCTCCTCTGATTCTCCTGTAGTTCTACTTAGTTTCAGAACAAGATGAATGCATCAGTTGTAGGCAAACATCAGTTGTGTGTGTTTTCTCAGCTTGTTTATTTAGAAAGTAGTTGAAGGAGATAAGAATGAGTAGCTTTGGAAAGAGCCAGCGCTAGGAAAACTGGGAAGGACATAAGAGAATAGCATTTCCACAGCTAAGATGCTATCTGGAAGCCGCCTGGAATATTGTAATGATAGTGTGAGATCATGTAGTGTTCTAATAGAAGGTGGGTCTCTCTTCGTTCCTACATACAAACTCCAAAGCAAACTCCTAGGTGGGTATGACTTAAGAATGGAGCAAAGCATTAGCATTAAATGGCAAGAAGTCTGGATTAAACATAGATGAAGAGAGACTCCCTTGTTGTTCTCACTACTTTCCTGGTTTCTCATTAAATTGGTCTGCGCTTCCCTGGGGTCCTTTGATTCTGTTTTTGCCCTCTTTTCACTAAATCTTCCTTTAATTTCCTTTGGTTTGATCTGATGACATTAGCCCTTTCCATCAGTTTCTGAGCATACCCTTTTGGCTTGTTTCCTCTTTCTCCTTAAATCTCAGGGCAGCGTTTTTCCCCCAGGGAATTCGATCTCAGTGTCTTTCAACACCTTCACTGTTGGCCTGTAGCCTCTCAGGCTGCGCTAAGCAGGGCCCTGGAGAGTCTTCCACTCTCCCTGGAGAGCTGCTTCTCTATGGGCTGTGGGACACTTGACCTCACGTGTCTCCCCACCACCCTTGTGAAAGAAGCAGCCATTAGGCCCTCTTGACATGTGTGGGAAGCACTATTCTGAGAAACACTCTAGGGACCCCACTGCTAAGTCAGTGATAGATTTTGACATCCAGAGGGAGGGTCAGCTCCCTTGAGTCTCACTTTGAGTGATTTCTAACTACTATTTCCATCATTCGAGTTTTGTTATCCAAACAGCCTTATCCAAAATGTGCTGTTATTACTACCAGTGTCATTGTTGTTTGACCTCTCAAAACTACTTATTCTAAACAACATCTCGCACACTGATTTTATATGTCAGGTCTAATACAATTTGGGGAAAAGGTTACTGAGTACCTAATCTTAACCATTCATTCTTTATGAATAGGCCCACAGTGTGTCAGATATTGTGCCGAGCAAAGATAAGAGACGGTCTCCCGGCTTAAAGATCTCACAACGTAGTCAGGAGAGCCAATCCTAAACAGACAACTGTATAATAGGGGAATGGCAATGAAAAGGGTAATAGAGAAAATTTCTTCAGCCCATTTTTGAGAGTCAGCAGTGTGTCAGGTACTGTGCCAGGCATAGTTTATATAGTCATGAACAGGACAGATAAACTTATAATTAGCAAGCGCAAGAGACAAAAGAGCAAATAAGTAACCCATTGTATAATTACAAATTGTGGAAAGTTTAGGTTTGGCTGAAGAGGGCTGGTATTAAGAAACCTACTTTAAAAGAGTAGGGAGAGTAGAACAGTGATGACATTTAAGTCTGGGAAGGAGCCAGTTATAGGAAGCATAGAAGAAAAACACATCGTACGCAGAAAGAACACCATGATTGGCAGCCCTGAGGCAGCTGAGAGCTTGGCATACTGAGAGATTAAGATGGGCGAATACAACTAGAACTAGGGCAGACCACCTAGGCAGGGCCCTGAAGATCATGAGACGGAATTTGGATTTTATTCTACAGGAAGCCTTAAAAGAATTTGTAAAATGAAAGTAACCTGACTACATTCATGTTTTAAAAGATTATTCTGGTTGCTGTGTAGACAAATAAATGCACAGAGGCAAAAGTAGATAAGGAAGTTACTGAAGTAGCTCAGGTGAAAAATGAGCATCTTGGACCAGGCTGGTGGAAATTGAGATGGAAAAGTATGGATGAATTCAAGACTATGTTTTTGAAGTAGAAAAGACAGGAATTGGATTTAAACGTAGGAGTTGTACAAAAGGAGGAGCCAAATCCCAGGTTTTGATCATCTTAGTGAATGTCGATGCTATTTACTGAGGTGACTCAGACAAGGAAAGGAACAAATTTGTGTTATGGTAGACAACTCAGGGAATAATTGGAATTCCTGGACAGCTATTCATGTCAGGATGTTCAGCAGAGCAGGGGAAATGCAAATCTGATGTTGAGAATGTAGTTTGGAGTTGATGATAGAGATTTGAGATTCATCGGCAGAACGAGAGTAGCTGAATTTATAGCTAATTATAAAACAGAGGGCTGGGGCACGGTGGCTCACACCTGTAGTCCCAGCTACTCAGGAGGCTGAGGTGGGAGGATCACTTGAGCCTAGGAATTGGAGGCTCCAGTGAGCCTTGATTGCACCACTGTGCTCCAGCCTAGGTGACAGAGTGAGACCTTGTCTCTTAAAAGATAGAAAAGAGTCTAGAGAGCGGGCCTTGGAGCCTGAATATATTTAAGAGGGAGAAGAAGAGCCAGTGGCGGGAACAGAGCAAGTGATCAGAATGGGTGAGATAATTGACCAATGTTGAACATGACCCTACCTGACTTGCCACTGATAAGCATTTTTTCCTTGCAAATAAAATTTAAAAATACTGTTTCTGAAAATGTTCAAAAAACTCTAAAGCATTACCTATGTGTAATCTGTCAAATTCATGTGGATATCTATCCACTCTGTGAGGTAAGCACGCACTAAGAGGACCATGTAAGAATCTGAGCCTCTGAAAACCAGTGTTGGGCTCCACGCTCCAGCCCAGGCAGACTTGGCTTTCATGGTATGAAGGAAATGGGACGTGTTGCTTTTTAAATAGTACTCACAGTTATTAAATAACATGATTAATAATAACGTGACCAAAGATTTTTAAAAATTCCTTTCCCACCTTTCCCCTCTCACGGGGGGTACATTACACTATCTGTTGCTGGTGGCATTGCTGCCATCCCCAAGTCCATGTTTCAACTGTGTGTGGCTTCCAGCACTTCAGTGAAATCTTATTTAATCACACATGCCATTTTATAGACCTGTAAAGAAGGGAGCACATGGCTTTTGGCAGGGGCACACTGTTCCAATGTGGTCTTCCCTATGTTTGCAGTAGGATGTTACAGCTCCAGGCTCCATGCCTTCCACCTTGTGAGTTCGCAGAAGCCTGTTCTGTGAAGAATACTTTTCGAATATGAAAGTTACCCACGAAGCATTCTGGACCAGGGGTGTGACTAAACCTCCAGCATGAGTTGGAATAGTAGCTTTCAGGGGCTTTGTTTCCACATAGTGCCTTTAAAATTGGTATTTTAAAAATGGTTATGATTGTACCACCATGTCCTTATTTATGATAATAGTAAAATTGCTACTTTAGCATTTTGTTGGTTTACAAATCTTTAAAAATGCTCAAAACATGTAAGAACTGTCATAGAATGTATGTGAGAGGAAACTTAAAACTTTGAGTTTTGAAATTTAAGCAGTTTTCTTGGAATAACGGCATTTGTGAGAATTTTCTCATTCTGCAGAGATGACCTCTTTGGGCCCACCTTGGTGTAGGCAATAACGATAGAAACTCTCGGCCGGGCGCAGTGGCTCACACCTGTAATCCCAGCACTTTGGGAGGCCAAGGTGGGCGGATCACGAGGTCAGGAGATTGAGACCTTCCTGGCTAACACCGTGAAACCCTGTCTCTACTAAAAATACAAAAAGAAATTAACTGGGCATGGTGGTGGGTGCCTGTAGTCCCAGCTACTCGGGAGGCTGAAGCAGGAGAATGGTGTGAACCCAGGAGGCAGAGCTTGCAGTGAGCCGAGATTGAGCCACTGCACTCCAGCCTGGGTGATAGAGCAAGACTCTGTCTCAAAAAAAAAAAACAGTAGAAACTCTCTGTCTTTGAGACAGACCATGAATGGGGGCTCGTGGGTAGGAGAGAAAGGGCGCAGTGCCTTGGGTAGCTCAGGATATGAGTGAGTACCCTGCCCCATGGAACATTCTGCCCTCCTCTGTTCTCCCCAAGATAGAGTAGCTGCAGCATATTGTCCTACTCTTGTACCCAATGGTGAGACTCAACTAGCAAGATTGGTTCCGTGTCCAGAATCAACAACAGAGGAAAGCCAAGAAACTCAACAAACAGGAGAATTTACACCTGAAAAAACATGCTTGTAGGCAGAACAGATATTCAGAACATGTGTGTTTTATAATCTCAGAGAACTATAAGATACAGACACCTTCATAAAAAAGAATCCAGTAGAGAATATAGAAATTAAAATTTGAGTTGATGAAATATTTTTAAAAGAGAGTAAGAAATACTCAAATAATGCAACATTACTTCCCAGAAATGAAAAGACATTGCATCTCTTATTGAAAGAGCCAACAGAGGCAATGAAAAATAAATGTACACATATGTGCACCCTTAATTCTTTATAATGAACCTTGAGAAATCAAGGCTTTAGAAAAATGCTGAGAGACAAGAAGCTTCTGAGCAGCAACACTGGATGCAGGAAAAAAAAATGGAGTAATAAGTGTAAAGTTCTGAGGGGAAAAATATCAGAACCTAGAATTCTAAATTTAACCAAACTGTCATTAAAGTAAATGAGAAAAGTAAATTCTTTTGAGAAACGCAGAGCCTAGAAAGATTACTAATCGTAGATCATCTTTTTTGTTTGTTTGTTTGTTTGTGACAGACTCTCACTCTGTCACCCAGGCCTGGAGTGCAGTGCTGCAATCTCGGCTCACTGCAACCTCCACCTCCTGGGTTCACGTGATTCTCCTGCCTCAGCTTCCTGAGTAGCTGCAATTACAGGTGCATGCCACCACACCTGGCTAATTTTTGTATTTTTAGTAGAGGCGGGGTTTCACCATGTTGGCCAGGCTGGTCTCGAACTCCTGATCTCAGGTGATTCACCTGCCTTGGCCTCCCAAAGTGCTGGGATTACAGGTATCTCACAGATCTTCTCTTGAAGTTGTACTTCTTCAAGTTGAAAATGAATCTAGGAAGAAGTGGAGTAGCAAAAGGTATAATGAGCAAAGACATTTATAAAATAATGGTTAAAGCATTACTAATAAAATGTAAAGCATTTGTGTTTGATAATGTGGAAATAAAATTGCAGGTGATATCAAAATGGGATGAGGCATTGGATGTGACCGTAGAATTTAGGAGGAGAATGAAAGGAAAAGCAAGCCTCCCTTATATTGTTCCAGGTTAGGGTATTGAGATATAATTAGCTGTAGATAACCTTAAAATCACAGGTATAATGGGTGTTAAGATTTAAGTATTAGCCGGATGTGGTGGCTCATGCCTGTAATCCCAGCACTTTGGGAGGCTGAGGCAGGTGGATCATGAGGTCAGGAGTTCAAGAACAGCCTGGCCAAGATGGTGAAACCCCATCTCTACTAAAAATACAAAAATTAGCTGGGCATGGTGGCGGGCGCCTGTAGTCCCAGCTACTTGGGAGGCTGGGGCAGAGAATTGCTTGAACCCGGGAGGTAGAGGTTGCAGTGAGCCGAGATTGTGCCACTGCCCTCCAGCCTGGGGTGACAGAGCAAGACTCCATCTCAAAAAAAAAAAAAAAGATTTAAATATTTATTAGTCAAAAAGTTAGAATTTATCATGTTCAAACCAGTAAAGGAAAAATGAAGCAAAGACAGTTTGGTGAATCCAACAAAAGTTAGGAAAAGGTGAAAAAGTAAATAGCCAGCAAGCTTGGTGAAGAAAAGTACAAAATAAATATGAGGATTAATCTAAATATATTCATAATCAAAATAAACACGAATGGACCAACTTTACCCAGGCAGCTGAAAGGAAAAAGAAATGACTCATTTAAACCTGAGAGAGGACAAGACAATCTGCCATTATTTGGATACTGATTATCTCTTAGAAAATCTGATTATCTCTTAGAAAATTGTATCTTAGAAAATCTGTGACATTTGAACAGTGTTTATCCATCTCCAACAACAACAACAAAACTGCCTCACACAATTTCAAATAATAATCTAAAGGACAAAAGCAAAACCAAAAATATAGACAGTATTAAAATACGAGACCTCTTTATTACCTTGGGAGTAGACGAGACCTTCTTGCAAATGATTTAATCAGCAAAAGACATGAAGAGTATTTATGAATTTGACTGTTTCAGATTTAAATTTAAAAATGATAAACGTTGTAAACAAAGTTAATAGACAAGCAAAAGCATGGGAAAATATATTTGCAAAATATTTAACCAAGGGTTGGTACCAAAATCTATGTAATTTGCAGAATTTTAAAAGTTTGACAAAACAATTATCAGCCCTTCGTAGTATTAAATTATACTATCATTGTGGAGGACTGACAGTCTCAAATAAATTAAAACTATGTCTACCTGATAACACTAACAAATCTACTTCTCTATGTCTGTCTTAGAGAAACCTTGCATGTTTGCACAGGGACACTCAGAAGTTCTGGAAGGATACTCCCAAAATGATAACAGTACTTGAGTTGTAGAAGATAACTATATATATATATGTGTTGGGGGAGACAGAGGGTGTGATGCAGAGGGCTATCAGGGGGACTTTATCTGTAATGTTTTATATTTTTATAAGGAGAATGCATATAACCTAAATTAGTTAAGGATTAATTTTGCAAAATATTTAAGAGTGGAAGTTTTATTTTCAGTTTCATAATAGAATTAAAGCCTCTCTCTTTGCAGTTAAAAGAAAAAGTGGCCTGTCTGTTAACGCAAAGTTTCAGGTTGAGCCCGCTTTTTATGTAATCATGAATCTCTGTTACTCAGTTCACTTTTTATAGTAGAGGGAGTTTTTAGATGAGAAGTTTATATACACCCTTCACGTTGTAATCATGAATCTTTGTTACTCAGTTGACTTTTTACAATACAGGGAGTTTTTAGATGAGAAGTTTATATACACCCTTCAGGTTGTATTGATGGATTTTGGTTGGAAGTCGTCTGCGTTTATCTTTAGGCATATCAGTTTTAAATGTTTAAATATCTGTAATTATTTTGTTTAACACTGATGTAGCTGGACTTATTATTCAGTCCACCATTTGAGATGGCAAAATCTTAAAAATACATCAAAGGCAGATTATTCTTGCCAGTCCTGTTTCAAGTATGCGAAAAATGGTAGGTAATACATTTACATTTTTAATTTCATTATATAAATGACATTAAACTAACCATAAAATAATTGCCAATAATAACAGCATTGTTTCACTGAGCTTCTATACATGACTGTGAGTCATTTTTCCTCGTCAAAATGAGAAGTGGTTTTTTTTCTTTCTTTTTTATAAAGTTAGATCCTAAATGCCCAACTTTTGACCATATTTTTCTTCTGCTTTGGAATTTTTTTCCTATCAGTCATTATATTTCTTTAGGAAACGTCTTTAAATTTTTTTGTGGGAAGGAACAAAGCTAGCAAAGAAACAGATGTGTCCCATATAAAATATGCAATAAATCTTGTCCCACAAATTCTTTGCTCTGAACTTTCTGACAGAAACTGTCAAATATCCACTTTAATTCAGGTATAAAATGTTCACTCCATGTCATGGCGCCAACCACCATATGCCAGAATAAAGTTAGTGACCAGCCATAAAAACAGCAGCATAAGCACCTTTGAAACGGTACAAGTCATCGTGGGTGAGAACGACCCATATAAATCCATAGGGAATTAATCTTGGCTTTGCTACTATCCTGCTGGGCATTTACAACAAGCTTCTACTCCCACACAGCAGAAGTAGTAATACTTTTTAAAAGGAGAGAGAAAATAAGAGAGCCGTATGTCCACCTAATAAGCTTGTTGGTTGGGGGGAAGGGGGTTGCATGGATCAGAAAGCAGTAGGTTTTCCTCCCCCTCCTCGGAGCTCTGGAATCCCCTTGAAGAGGCAGAGCTCAGCCTCAGTTGAACATGTGGGGTTCTTCTTCAGCTCGCCTTGCCTGCCTTCGCAGATCATGTGAAACCAATCTCCCTGAAGTGCAATCACAAGGAATGACTTCAGCTTCATAAATCATTGTTATCATCCCACAGGAGGAGGTAATGCTATGGTTTTTCTCCAGTAAAACATTTCAAGCCTCTGGTTTCATGAGCCTTTTTTTTTTTTTTTACTTTCTGAAATCAGCTTCGTGCCACTTGTACAATTAGCTTCAGGCTCCTGCGTACAGGAGATGGTGGCACTTCTCCAGTTTGCATAATATTTGAACATTTTACCCTCTCAGATTTCGAGGGAGATCTGTTTCCTACTGAATGCGTGCTTGTGTGTGTGGCTTGTCATATACACAGAGGCTTCACATTTGCTTCCAAGAATATACTGATCCTCAATATTTTTTGCATTAAGGGTATTTTCTTTATACTATATTTTTCAAATACAGAATAAGTAGTATATATTAGGTTTAAGCACAGGATAAAGAAATCTCAACTTACTTTGCAGTATTAGACACTATTTTAAAATGCACTGGTAGCCATGTAAAACATTTCTCTAAGGCGCAAAAATAGGAAGACTAAAGGGTGAAGCAATGGATGATTTCCAAGTTAAATCAAAAGATAAAAATCTGCCTTAATTCTATTTGGTAATATTTTAATAATCCTTCATAAACACTTCTTTCCTACAAGATCTCGTTTAGGAAGAACTGTCAAAAAATTATTCTGAAATGCTTTCATGAGTTTCTAGAAAATGTTTTGTTTGAATAGGTTCCATACTCACTTTGAAATAAAGGCTAATTTTTCAACAATTATTTTTAATAATTGTAAATTTAAATATAAATTCATTATAAAAGTATTCATTTAGAAGTTGACCTATACCTATACCTTTATGTTAAATAAAATGCAAGGGAAAAAATGAAAAAGCAAGAAAGGACATTACATTCAATATAATTTCAACTATATAACTAAAGCACAAATGAGTGTGTGATTATAAATATATACATTTATGAAATGAATCAGCATATTAATAGTGGCCATTGCTCAGAGAAAGTCTTATGCACTGCTTTTATTTTCTTATTTATATCTTTCTCAAATGTTCTACAATGAGGATTTATTACTTGTAAAATCTGGGGAAAATACAAAGGTTTGATAAAAAGCAGGGAAAAAGTGACCCACTGTAACATTCATTCTTATTGAATGTATTGTTAAATTGTTACCATATCAATGTGATTATTCAATGTTTGTACAAATTTTTCTTCAACAAAAGCTTTTTCTCTGAGGATGACAGTTATGATTGAAAGGTGACTCTGGAGGATTCCACCTGGAATTCTGATAAATTCACTGTCAGCACTTTCACCTCGACTTAGAAGCAATGTGGTCACTTTAAAAACCAAGCCTCATTTCTTTATTTCCTTTTACTGGCTCTGATAATGATTGCTTCTGCTAATGGTTCATCTACTGGTGGAACAGATCAAATGTTCTTTAATGTGGAAAATATCTTCTGCAGCATCTTCTTTGGGAATCCCAGTTCTCTCAGCATTTTCTTTTCCTGCAAATATCACCCAAGAGACAGATTATGACCTTCATCACACCTAGATACTTGGTAACATCAGAGCTCTTGAAGTCATCGTGTTAATTCTTGGGTACCATTTCTAGTGGACCCGTTTTAAACCTCCAGCTATGACAAACCCTTGACCAAGTGAAATAAAAATGGGTTAAAAAGTAATTTGATGTTGTAAGCAATAGCCAATATTAGGGAAATTAGACTTTTGTCGGGTTCTGTGGCCATGTAAATTCAGTTTCCTAAGTACATTTAGCCTTTGCCAGGGTTTTAAAAGAAGATTGATTTAAGGATAGCAATGGCTATTTCATGATTATTTACAGGACGTTCTGGTAGTCTATTCATTTTTATGACTAAACATCTGAACAATTATTTTTCTAGAGGGAGAGCTTCAGCTATTTAACAAATGTGTTAAGCTACACAGATGTCAGAGGTTTCGTGTAAATAGATCTAGAACAAGAAATTTCCTTTGTCAAGGTATGATGCTGTATATTGTAAATCATGTATAAGTATGGCTTCTTTCTTCTCTTAGTTTTTCTTTAGTTAACGTCAGTCTTAAGCCATTAAAATCTCTGACCATGCCTAATAGCTTTTTATCTGAATTTTACTCTTTATAATGTGATTGAAACTATTCTTAATATTGGATGTCCTTCTGAACAATTTGTAAAAAATATGTAGAATGGTTACTTTATAGAGATTGTAGAATTTCATGTTGCCTGTGAGTATAAGGTGTGAATAAAGGACTTTAATGTGGGTGACTGCCCAATGAAATTTAACTTATCCGTGACAATGGTTGTTTTTCTGTTACGACTTATTTCTCTATTGTTCCACTGTAGTAATATGACAGTTTTACAGTTTTTCAGCAGGAACCTATAAAGAATCACAGTGTGGCCTAGTGAAAACTAGTCGGGAGTCAGGGGACAGCTTCTTTCTTTTTTGCCCAAAACTATTTGTATGACCTTAGGCAGGTCACTCGCTTTCAAAGTGCTCTGCAGCTGCCTCCAAACAGCATCTGTTGTTTCTTTTTCTGATTATATTAAATGAGCCCCTTTCTTCAAAAAGCAACTAAAAACAAATGAAAAACAAAAATCCTCTTAACCAGAGAGGCAGAAATAGCAACCATAATATTTTGGTATGTTACCTTCTGACTCTTTTATGGATTCAATATTTTGATAACTATATATATAATGTGTGTGATATACCTTTTGACGTAACTTTAGGCACATCATGCCACTGCTTTATATTCTTTATTTATAATTTTGTCATAGCATTTTCCCGTGATATTTTTTGCAAGCACGTTTTGTGGTATGTGGGTCTAGGAAGTGTGCTTTAATCCTTGGGAGCTTACTGTAGGGATACACGTATTACTAAGGAGAAACAGGGTGCTGAAATTCCCCAGAGAAGTTTCACAGGAACCCAAGAAAGGCTGCACAAGCAAATGTCACTGGATTACAAAGAATTATAGTGATGGTAGTCATTATCATAATCGGTATTTACTTAACTAATGTGCCAGGTGCCATGGCCGAGCACCTTACAAACATCTCTTTTAATTACTACAGCTGTCGAATGTAGGCTCTATCATTACTTTCATTTATAGATGAGAAAACTGAGTCTTAGCCACATTAAACAACTGACCCAGTGTCAATAGTTAGAAAGTAATGGAGCACTTGGAAGCTTCGGCTCCACTGTTAATCCACAGTGTAGAACCTAAGAATTTAGTATCATAGCACCTGGCATACTGAGTATTCAGTGAATGTTCATCGCCATCATTACCACCACCACCACCAATCTGACTGTGCTAGGCCATTGTATTAGACTACTTTATAAGCATTAGGTTGACTGTCCTTGGATCTTAGTTGTAGCTATGGCTGGTGAAGGGAAGGGGACACACTCCAGTACGTGATTCCGTTATTGGAAAATCCACTATCTATTCAGTCTCCTATTATTGTTTAACTTAGCTTGTTTTTAAACTATAGCATGAGGGGTTTATATGAGGTAATTTCTTAAGTTTTGTATAGCTCCATAGTTTTCAAGTGTAAGGTTTCATTTTATCTAGTGTACATATGGACAAGTTAAAGTCTGAAGAATGAAGTATTGGCCCTAAATATCATAGATAATCATCAGAGGCAGTTATGGGAAACCCAAAGAAGCTAGTTGGAGAACTTTTTCTTCCATTAAAAAAAATTAACATGAGGTGCTTTCTTTCTTTAGATTTGCTGAATATCTAGTACTAAAATGCTATGAGGTTAAAAAAATGAGAGTTGCTTTTGAAGAACACTACTTTAAAGAAGAAATAAAAATAAACATGCAGGCCGGGCGCGATGGCTCACGCCTGTAATCCCAGCACTTTGGGAGGCTGAGGCGGGCAGATCACGAGGTCAGGAGATCGAGACCATCCTGGCTAACACGGGGAAACCCCATCTCTACTAAAAATACAAAAAATTAGCTGGGCGTGGTGGCGGGCACCTGTAGTCCCAGCTACTCGGGAGGCTGAGGCAGGAGAATGGGATGAACCCGGGAGGCGGAGCTTGCAGTGAGCCGAGATCGCACCACTGCACTCCAGTCTGGGCGACAGAGCGAGACTCTGTCTCAAAAATAATAATAATAATAATAAAATAAAATAAACATGCAGCCTATTACCACTTTGCTCATGAACCTGCTACAAATTCACACTTTTGTGGACATTCTCACCAATTAATAAAGCAACAAGTTACCGATTTATAAATACTAGGTTTATAGTCTCAAGTGCTAAGCATTTGAATACAAAGTTTGAAAGAAAAAGGCCGTAGTCCATGCCTTTCAGAAACTATACACCTTCAGACTAGTGCTAATGTTAAGATGAGACAGAGTTGTCTGGGAAAGAAGAGCTTCCTCCAAATTAGAATACCTGCAATTTATCACCAAATGGTTATCCAGAGCCTTGTGATTGTAAACCCCATTGCTTTTGAAATTTCACTAAGGTTCTTGATGAAACAAAATGCAAGAAGCCTTCTTTTAAAAATTTAGCTTCTTTGCAATTCCTAATATTTCCTAAATGGTGTCTGCTGTCTGAATGATGAGGCTATAGAGTTTAGTTTCCCTACATGACACCTGAAATACTTCTAAAGTATTGTATAAGGTCAGACCCTTCCCGTTGGAAATGAGATGGCTGGGAGACAAGGTAGACATTACAAGGAAACAGGATTTATGTATAATTATTTTTTAATTACAAGGAAATAGATTTATGTATAATTATCCCTTAAGTGAAAATTATATTTTATAAATATGCTTGTTTAGAAATATCTGTGAAAAATAACTAAGGAAAAGCATTTTACAAAAGACATCTGTCACTTCTATTAATGCTGATAAGTTAAAGACATATATGGGTCTAGAAGATGGTATAACTTGGAGAATTTCAGGCCCTGTTTGAGAATGTGACCACCTGACTCCCATTAATGTTAATGAGTCTCTCACCAGATCATTCTGAAATTGTACCCCCACGGTCTGTTTTAAAGCATCAAGAGTCAGGAAATTTAGCGTGAAAGCTGAAATTCCATCTTGGAACTTTCTCTCTGATGTATCTATTCCTATGGAAGATGTGTAGTACAGTGCAGCTTCGAAATACCACCTCGGTGTTTGGGAATCCTGGAGAAAAATGCTGCCCCTTGGGAAGCAGCAGGGAGCGTTGGAAAATGTAGATTATTAGTCACATTATTAGCCAAAATTATTAAATTATTAGTCAAAAGTCCTGGATTCTGTGACTATTAGTGTAATCCAAATAGTCGCTTCATCTACTTGGGTATCCATTTTCTCCACGTTGAGATTAAATAGTTGGGCTAAGTTATAGCAAGGTTAAGGTTATACTGTCTTATCAACTTCATCAAGGAATTGCATCTGTATCACTCGAAGCCAAGATGTTTCTGCATACAGGTAGTTGTGCAGCATTGAGGGACTTCACTGGACTACACAGAAGCAGAGGAACAAAAGTAGTAGAATATCAGCCACAAATCAAATGATTGCCTTTAAGAAGAATGAACAAAATCCTTCATAAAGTCTGAAGGCCAAGTGTTTTGTCAGTATTGTAAATGGTTGAAAGACTTACCTTGGGGCAAAG
The DNA here is from genome assembly GCF_000001405.40 of Homo sapiens. Classification (NCBI taxonomy): domain Eukaryota; kingdom Metazoa; phylum Chordata; class Mammalia; order Primates; family Hominidae; genus Homo; species Homo sapiens. The sequence goes on along the minus strand of NW_011332701.1, from coordinate 4,865,513 downwards.
CATCTCATCTCTAGTGAAAATATATTGGGAAAAAAAAAGTGAGTTTACTTCTGAAAAAGTGTGGGTAAATATACTTCATTTAGATCCCAATTATACTTGTGTCCGATTACCTCCTAGAACTGTGACTTGATAAAATGTTTACTTTTGCAGTAGTTACTATTGATCACAGACTAGATGTATAATGTGGTTAAGTGTTTGAGATTATGGTCATCCCTCAGTATCCGTGGAGGATTGGTTCCAGGACCCTTATGGATATTAAACTCTACAGATGCTCAAGTCTCTCATATAGAATGGTGTCGTAATTGCTATAACCTACACCCATTCTTTAAATCATCTCTAGATTACTTATGATACCTAATACAATGTAAATGCTATATAACTAGTTGTTAGACTGTGTTGTTTAGGGAATGACAAGGAAAAAAAAAGCGTGTATATGTTCAGCACAGACACAACCATCCATTTTTCCCCAAATGTTTTCAGTCTGCAGTTGGTGGAATCCATAACCCACAGATACAGAGGGCCAACTGTATATTGTGATCTCTGAAATTGTACCTGTCACCTATACAAATTATTATTACAGTCACCAGAGAATATAAATGAATACATGACACCTGAAATATTTCTATTGTAGAAGGTCTGACCCTTTCTATTGTATGCAAACAGCACTTTGTAATTCATGTTGTTATACCAATAAGATATTTTACGAATATCATCGTACTAGATTTAGAGATACAGGCTGAGAATCTCTAATCTGAAAATCCAAAATGCAAAATGCTCCAAAATCTGAAACTTTTTGAGCACTGACATGACATGAATAAACTGTCTGTTGCGCACCTGCGTTTTGACAAGACCCATCACTTGACTTTATGTGACGGTCTCGGCCAAAATGCAGGAGCACAATAGACAGTTTTTTCAGTGTCCTTGAGGGAAGAATAAAATTACCTTCAAGCTCTATGTATAAAGTATATATGAAACATAAATGAATTTCATCTTTAGACTTGGGTCCCATCCCCAATGTATTACATTATGTATATGCAAGTATCCCAAAATGTGGGGGACAAAAATTGAAATTGGAAACAATTCTGGCCTCAGGCATTTCAGATAAGGAGTACTCAGCCTGTATAAAAGTGTAAATGACTTAATATTATAAGTCACTTGTAAGTTTGATTGCCTCAGGACTCACATTTTCAACTATGTGTAAGGGAATTAAGTCGTACTGCCCTATCTCTGCCATTGTGTGTAATGAGTTGGCATTGTCCTAGACATTTAGAATGTTCCCGGTGATGTGTATATGGGGAAACTGAGAAAATAGCTTCTCAAATCCTTTTCTGTGTTCTGCAGTTCAGATGAAGGACCCTGGTTGAGAACAGCCCCAGGTGCCCAAGTTAGGTGATACCATTTCGTGGTTTTGTTTGTTTGTTTGTTTGTTTGTTTGTTTAGTGTCCATAAAATACTCCAATTCACTTAAGGGGCAACTAGAAATGGCAGATTAAAATGGTGAAAAAGGCTGGGTGTGGTGGCTCATGCCTGTAATCCCAGCACTTTTGAGAGGCTGAGGTGGGTGGATCACTTGAGGTCAGGAGTTTCAGACCAGCCTGGCCAACATGGCGAAAATACAAAAATTAGCCAGGCATGGTGGCATGTGCCTGTAATCCCAGCTACTCAGAAGGCTGAGGCAGGAGAATCGCTTGAACCCAGGAGGCGGAGGTTGCAGTGAGCCGAGATCGCACCACTGCACTCCAGCCTGAGTGACAGAGCGAGACTCCGTCTCAAAAAAAAAAAAAGCAAATAAAATGATGAAAAAGACAAGGTCTGCAAAGTCTGACTGGAAATAAGAGGATCCAGGATAGCACATCAGCCTGGGAGGTAGACTAGATGACCATTTGAAGACTCCTTTTAACTGGATTTTTTTTTTTTATTTTATGACTCTGAAGACCTCTTCAGAGTGTAGTGACACAATGTCCTTTACTTGGTACTTTCACCAAAAGCCTAGTTTCCTAGTCCACTTTAGCCTTAGGCAAGTGACCTGGAAATCCTACACCCTACACTAGGAACCTTGACAGCATGTCTTTATACAACCTCATAACACTTTACACAGAAAATCTCACAGGTGGCCCTCTACTCTTCAACTTTACCATCCAGCTTAGACACTTGCTCTGACAGACCAGAAATGATCACTCTTCTAATTTCACCACAACCAGGAAAACTAATAACTTAGGAAGACCAGCAAGGATATCGTCCTCCATGGGCAAGCATACCAGAAGGAAAAATGTAAGGGTAAGAACTCTGCATCACAAACTGGTTCCAAATATCTGTTGTTTTCTTCTCTCAAATGTTAAAAGGCCATCCCTTTCCGATGTCAGCGTGCTGTGCCTCTGTTGGTGTAAAGCATTTGTTTCTCCTGGAAAGTGCACAACGGGGATTTTCTAAGAAATGGAAAACGATTGCCACACTCACATCAGACGGATCCCACGTGAAGCAGAGCGCAGTCCCTTTGTTTCCTCGTTAGCATCACCCGGCTCCCATATTTGTAGAGCTGTAATAAAAACAACTTCTTAACTGTGCGTCCTGTTGGTTTATACCAACCATGTCAGGTCCATAAACCATGGTATATTAAAGTGTAATAGACTGTGTAAAGAATACTAGGAAGATACTCCAACCCTTATCCCTTCCCCTTATTTCACAATTTACTGCCTCCCAGATGGGCATCCATAAATAGGACTTAATTGCGTTTGGCATAAAAGCCCCACTTTCTTTAAAGAGTGGCCTCCTCCTTCAGCCACTCTCATTGTATGAATGCCACCCTCTTGAGAATAAAAACTTCGGTTATTTGGGTACATGTAAATGGTGAATGTTCTTAGTCTGAATATTTTATGGAAATATCATTTTATTTATAAAAACTTTCTCTTTTTCAAAGTTAACTGTGGAAAATAGTATATTTTAAAGACTCAATCTGATACAGACGAAACTGGAGGGTTAATGCTATTTGTGCCTCCCTATAGTGTTAGTGCTGTTTGTGCCTGTGTTAATGTATCAGTCTAAAAGCAGGACATAGGATGGGCATAGTAATCTCTTGCTTTTCAGTTCTACTCTACTCTTCACTATTTTGTTGCAAACAAAAGATGGAAGATTAGAAATTTCTGTGCCAAAAAACAGGCACTTAATGAGTAGGGACTGTGTTCTGCTAACATGGGTTCTTCTGTTGTGTACTTTTCCATCTGTCAAATAAGTACACAAGGCTGGGCACGGTGGCTCACGCCTGTAATCCCAGCACTTTGGGAGGCTGAGGCAGATGGATCACTTGAGGTCAGGAGTTTGAGACCAGCCTGGCCAACATGGTGAAACCCTGTCTCTACTAAAGATACAAAAATTAGCCAGCCATGGTGCGTGCCTATAATCCCAGCTACTTGGGAGGCTGAGGCTGGAGAATCACTTGAACCCGGGAGATGGAGGTTGCAGTGAGCTGAGATTGCATCACGGCACTCCAGCCTGGGTGAAAGAACAAGACCCTGTCTCAAAAGAAAAAAAAAAATAAGTATTTGAGTACCTGCTAGGTAATAGTTGAGAGAAAAACTCTGAAAACAGATTTTGGTTGCAACTCTGAAAGGAGCACAGAGTCCAGTGGGAAAAGCCAGCTGCAAGCCAGTGACCTTGACATAGCATTCTGTGTGCTGTGATAAGGAATTGTGGGGAGATAGTGTGTTTGGATCTCCACAGAAAGAACGGCTCACCACATTATGGGGGAGAGGCATGGAGGGCCCCTCAGAGGAGATTTTCAAGCTTGGTTTTCAAAGAAAGAGAAGACATTCAAACAGAAGGGTAGGAGAAGGGAGAAGGGCAAGGAAGAGAAGGCATTAGAAACAGAAGGAGCAAAGTGCCCAAAAATAAAGACACCATGCAGCAAGTTGAGTCCAGAGACCAGCCATGAGTCCCACGCAGCAGGAGCTCTGGGGATGATAGTATGGGGATGGCAGGAGGCAGGTGTGAGGGGCACACTGTGAACTGCAAATGCACTTTGTCTTCAGAGGAGGAACCAGTGAGAACATTAAGCAGAAAAGGGGCATAGTTCACTTTGCCTTCTAAAATGGCAGTTTTGGTGGCAACAAAGAGAATTGAATTTACTGTGCAATGAGGGGAACCTGTTACAGGTCACCATATAGAGCCTAGAGGTTAAGGAAGGAATCTTAGCTCTCAGAAAACTTAACCTCTCAAAAAAAGACTCCTGTATCATTGTCTTTTATTTGGTATTGGGGAAGTGATCCAGTTAATCAGGTCAAAGATTACAGAACTCCATGGTCATTAAGGGGAAAAAACAGGTGAGAGTAATCATTAAGTACCTCTCCCCTCACATCCACCCCCATGACTCCCAGTTATTTGTTAAATTATAAATAAGTTTTTCTCTTTCTCCTGAGGATGAAATAAAACAAAATGAGCTGAAACAGCAAATAAAATGACTTTAGGTCAGACATAGGGAACCACCCTTTTGTAGAAAAGCCTTTTACAGGCCATGCTAAGGACATCAGCTCAGTGAGTGAAATGAAAAAAAAAAAAACACTAAAGTTTTGAGCATAAATGATAACAACCAAAATTCTTGTCTACTGAAAGCAGTTATGAACATTCTAAAGAAAGCATGTTGTGTGCAATTTTGTGATAACCATGCCAAAAAGTCAGAAAGCTAGAGTAGTGACTACTAGCATTTGCTTCTAGCCAATAGACAATAAATGGCTGCCATTCTGGAATGCCCATCATATGTCAGTCACTAGATTAATCTCACACGTTCAGTATATCTCATAGTCACAAGCACTTTGCAAGGTAGATCTTATTATTCCCATTTTACGGATAAGGCTCAGTGGAGTTAAGTGATTTTCTGACGATCACCCAGTTAATAAGTATCAGAGCAGAAATTAAACCCAGGTCCACCTGGTGCAAAACCCAAGCTCTTTCCTCTATGCTACACTTCATTTAACTCTGGCAAAACAGCCAACCCACTGGAAGCTTGAACCCCCAGCAGCCATGGCATGACGTTGAACTGTCAAAGACCTGACTGCAAAGACTGGCTGCAACTATGTGGGAGGGTAGGTATCATCATCTCCATTTGACAGAGCAGGAGACTGAAACACAGGACACTGTGATTGGCTCATGACACTCAGGTGACACAGCTAGGGTTAAAGCTTGGCAGTTAGTTATCATGAGTTCTGATTTGCATTCCTTGGGCCCATAGCCATGGAATAGAAAGCCATTTCTGCTTCACTTGGTAGGCTGTGGAACTATGAACTTCAGAATTGTTCTTGTGGAGCAATTGTATGATATATAGTTCCCGTATTGAAAAGCTAGAACTAGAACGTTGGAACACCGGGATTCTTATACTTGGCCCACAGTGACCTTATTTGTTGATGGTATTAGAATTTGAGTTTGTGACTCCAGTCTTTAAACATGGTTCTTCCAGGTCATGTATTTGTGTTTTGCTTAGAGCATCTTGAAGACTTAAAATGTGTAATGGCCTGGTTTAAAATTTTACACATTCAAGTAGGAGAAATATTTCATGCTGTTAGAGCTTCCAAGTCACACCATAAAGGTAGATGCCTTTTGTATCTGTACAAGGGCAAAATTAGGGAACATTTAAATCTCTAATTTCTTCTCATTTTCCTGAAGGCCCTTTTCCCTAAACCCTCAGAGTTTTCTGCAGTGTGCATTGGCTCTTAATAATACCTCTTTTTACATTTAGACTCTGTTTCTCCAAATCACCATATTCACAGAGGTATTGCAAAATCTTACCTGATGCTCAATTCAGTTTGAATAGGGTATTTCTTGTCACTAAATTCATATACAGTTATGGCTTGGCCACACTCTGCTTAGCACACACAGCTTGGAAGTAGCCAGTTAGAAACCATCTGCTGAGAGAGCAGAGCTGGTCCAAGAAGATCACTCGGGCCTCAGAGGAATTTTTCCTCCTGTTTGGCTATGCACATAACTTAAAATCACTGGAGAAGAACAGATCACTAGTTTGTTTCACATTTTGGGGAACTTGATAACCTAGGAGAGACACAGGTCATTTCTCAGTATCTGATTGGCTAAGTACCAGACTAATTCACAGAAATTCCTGCCAAGAGTATGGGGGGACATCAGACAGCAAAAGATGGCCCTGGCCATGGCTTCCGTCTGCCTAAAATGATGCACTTATGAAAGCTGAATCATTTTAATATAAAACAAAATAAGTTTTACTAGTTGAAATATACTACATTTAGAGATAATGGTATACAACATTAGCCTCTCAATCTTCTTTAGCTTATGTTCATATTCTAAATATAAAGTTTTTTCAGGAAAGCCAGTATATCTCTTTTTAAGCAAGCTTTATCCAATATATGCATTTTTAAGCTAAAATGATTGCTTTAACATATAGCCAGTTTTCTACAATTAAGGCTACAGCAGAAAGCAAGCCAGGTGAAGCTGCTGCCCTCCTAGAGCTTACATTCAGTTGTTGCATGATAAACACATGAGGAAAGGAATAGTCTGTTAGGTAGATAGAGGCTGTGGGAAGGCTATGGAAGGAAGGTAGGGGTAGAGGGTGTGTGTGGAGGGGTAGTAGGAAGATGATGAGTGGCAAGGGATGGTCTTTTATTTACGGAAGCTGGAGAAGGAGATACTTCTGCTGAGACCTCAATGCAGTGAGGGAGCCCATCGTGCAGACTGTGGTCAGGGTGTTCCAGAGAGGAGGAACAGCAAGTGCAAAGATCCTCCAATGTGCACGCTCAGTGCGCTCAAGCCAGAGGCAGCTGCCAGCGAAGCTGGAAAGGAAGGGGTGTGGGAAAGAGGAGGTAATGCCACCAAACAGCCAGGGAGCCGACTTAAGTGCAGGGCCTTCTAGAGCATTTTGAAGACTGTAGATACTATGTCAAGGCTGATGGCAAGACAAGCCATTGGAAGGTTTTGAGCAGGGGAGCCTTTACATTTTAAAATCAATGAGGAAGATTATGGTAATGTAGTATTAATACCTGCCATGGCCTATATTGAGCACACATTATGTGCTAAGCACTCTGCATGTATTATCTCATTAAATCTTTACAGCAGCTGTATGATAATGGTCACTATGGCTGTTCTCATGGGACAGATGAGGCAATAACTAAGCATTTGGTCTTAACTAACTTGCCAAAGTCATACAGATAGTAAGTGGTAGGGCCAGGTTTAATAAAAGGGTGATGTTTCAAAATCCCTTATCTTTCATGAAGTATCACAGCATAGATCCTAGATACGAGACTTACTTATTTTCGTTCATTTTACATCATTGTAGCCCTAAATTAAAGGAATCTGAAGGCTTATGTTACATAATAACATGTTACATAATAACATAACAACTTATGTTGTAGCTTATGTTAACAACTTTCCTATTTTTCTGGATATTTTAAAGTGTGAGAGTGGTATTTTCATATATAATAATATATCTTCTGATTGTAGAGAAGGATATATAAAAGAACCACCCCAAAATGAAACCTCTTGATAATCCTATAGAAAGAACATAGGTTCTTAACCTGTGGATTCAGAATTGTATCTTAGTATCACTGATTTTCTTAGTAACCTTATGAAAACATTATTCTGACAAGAGTCCATGGGCTTCCCTAGACTGCCAAAAGGGCCTGTGGGTGTGGAGGCAGTATGCGGCAAGATTCCCATGACTCTGAGCAGCACTGCTGCAAATGCTACTGGATTTATAATGTTTAGAGTAAGGGGGAACATGATGAGACGTGCAAGAGGGACCACATGTCGTGATCTACCCAAGATTTCCCTAATTTATGTCTTTGCCTAGGTGTAATTATTAACATTACTCTCAAAAGTATCCCAGAGGAAACAATAAATTATTTGGCCACTATTAGCTATGTCTGTTATCAAGACTTCATGACTAAAACACCAAAAGCAATGGCAACAAAAGCCAAAATAGATAAATGGGATCTAATTAAACTAAAGAGCTTCTGCACAGCAGAAGAAACTGTCATCAGAGTGAACAGGCAACCTACAGAATGGGAGAAAATTTTTGCAATCTACCCATCTGACAAAGGGCTAATATCCAGAATCCACAAAGAAAAACAAATTTACAAGAAAAAAACAACCCCATCGAAAAGTGGGCAAAGGATATGAACAGACACTTCTCAAAAGAAGACATTTATGCAGCCAATAGACACATGAAAAAATGCTCATCATCACTGGTCATCAGAGAAATGCAAATCAAAACCACAATGACACACCATCTCACTCCAGTTAGAATGGCGATCACTAAAAAGTCAGGAAACAACAGATGCTGGAGAAGGTGTGGAGAAATAGGAACGCTTTTACACTGTTGGGAGTGTAAATTAGTTCAACCATTGTGGAAGACAGTGTGGTGATTCCTCAAGGATCTAGAACTAGAAATACCATTTGACCCAGTGATCCCATTACTGGATATATACCCAAAGGATTATAAATCATGCTACTATAAAGATATATGCACATGTATATTTATTGTGGCACTATTCACAATAGCAAAGACTTGGAACCAAGCCAAATGTCCATCAATGAGAGACTGGATTAAGAAAATGTGGCACATATACACCATGGAATACTATGCAGTCATAAAAAAGGGTAAGTTCATGCCCTTTGCAGGGACACGGATGAAGCCAGAAACTATCATTCTCAGCAAACTATCACAAGGACAGAAAACCAAACACTGCATGTTCTCACTCATAGGTGGGAGTTGAACAGTGAGAACAGATGGACACAGGGTGGGGAACATCACACACTGGGGCCTGTTGGGGGGTGGGGGGCTGGGGGAGGGATAGTATTAGAAATACCTAATGTAAATGACGAGTCGATGGGTGCAGCAAACCAACATGGCACATGTATACATATGTAACAAACCTGCACGTAGTGCACATGTACCCTAGAACTTAGTATAATTTAAAAAAAAAAAAAGCAGTGGTAGCAAATAAAGCAAATTGAGTGTTATTGCCAGGACATGTGCTAGAGGCTACCCCCCCCCCCCCCCCCGAATTCAGACCTCCTGTGGTAATGAATGGGTGTAATTGAAGCTGTAAGATTACGCAAAGGAGACAACAGAAGAAAAAATTTTTAATCATGATTTATCTTTTACAGCCAAAAAAGAGCATAAGATGGAAGAAAGTCACTTGGAGAATGCACAGAAAAGGTAAGCAGCTCTGATTTGGCCCCAGTTCTTTCTTTGACTAGCCATTCTTTTGTATTATTATTATGAAGTGCATTCATTTTGCTATGCAGTTCTATCTCCAAAACATTTTTACTTCCCCAACTGAAACTTTATACCCTTTAAACACAAATTCCCCATTCCCCACTCCCCTGTCCCTAGGCAACCACCGTTCTACTTTCTGTCTCTGTGACTTCGACTACTTTAGCTACCTCATGCAATTGGGGTCATCCAGTATTTGTCCTTGTGTGACTGACTTCTTTCCTGTAGCATAAGGTTTGACTAGCCCTACTTTCGGCCCCATGTGTTAAGACTATGCATCCATAAGCAATAAGCTTCACTTGGAAGCTGGAGTGAAAGCACTGTAGCAGGACTTAGGAATATTTTTCCTCAGGAAGTGAGGAATCATCCAGAAGTGACTCACCTGCCTCACATGCGTGTCATGACACTATTCTGCCTGTTTGCCTGTCCTGCATTGCTCTGCTCCTGAACCGCTTGATGGAAGTCAGGGACAGTTTGATCCTTCCTGGCATTACAACTAGATCAAACTAATTATTGCAGACACCCAAGAGACTTATTATGTCTTTCCTCAGCTTCTAGAGGAGGATATTATAAACAAGGGGCAGGTAGGGAGAAGGGGCTGTCCATATGTTCAGGTGGGGAGAAGGGGCTGTCCATATGCCCATACAGCGTATGGACAATTTCCCCCAGAAGTTGGGGAACACCTCAGAGATCTTCTGTTCAGATTCATGTCACCCACTTCAGGCATCTTCTTGCTCGCTCACTCTCTCAATAGATATCACATGGGAACCATTCACTCCACCCAGTGGAACCTAATCATCAGCAGTTCTCATCCCTTAGGGCTTTTTCCTTTTTGTTAGTTGACCAGGTTAGTCAGTGTGGCTCTCCCTCCCTCATAGAAGAGTGAGTGGCAATAGACAGCGGTATTCTCATATTTAGGGCTGAAATTTGAGATACATTTTGCTGGTACGAATTCTAAAAGTACTGGTAAATTAGATGACAGGTAGAGGTAGGAGACAGCATCTAAGGACAAATGAGCTTTACAAATGTGTGAGAGGAACAGTTACCCAGTTAGGAATTTAAATGCAAATAAACAGATTGTAGAAATTAACCATTTTCCTCCTGTCTAGCCACAATTTCCGAGACTTCTGAAATCCCATAGACGGTGCCATCTGCCCTGCTTTCACAGGTGCCAACATCTTGCCCTGCTTCCCACTGTAATTACCAATAAGATTAAAATGCTGGTGAAAGCAAGGTGAAGGCAAGTCTTGCACTTTGCTAAGTACAGACATATTCTCAAATCGTGCTTATCATCCTATCATAATAATCATTCAAAACTGAGATAATTCCATGGCTATGTTTTTAGGAGTTTGTGTCTCTCTATTGACCTTATTCCTATGTTAAGCTTCCCTTCACAATGCATAAAACTAGCACGTCTGTGTTATAGAAACATCCAGCACATAAGAGATTATCAACAAGGGCACGTTGGTGTCAGGCCAAACAGAAATTCAGCTTCTGGGGCGGATGTCAAATTTCTAATACTTTTTCAGGATTCTTGCTGAAGGAAAAGGGGGCCCAGCGTGGAGGGGCCGAAACTGCTGCCGTGCATTAGCTCTGTGGAGGGGAGTCATAAATTCTGGTTGTCAGCGTTTTCCGTGGCTTTGTGGTGAAGGTAGTCTAGCTTTCATGTCATACATGAAATATGTTAGATCCCATCTTTAATGTAGAAACCACAGTTGTTTGGTTATACTCTTTAAGGAGGTTGTGGTCAGTGTTGCAATATTTGTGTGAGATTAGTGAATTCTTATGTTTTATTCTCAAGAGAAACAATTTACTCTGAGGCTAAGGAATATTTGCTTTTCCTAAGCAGTTTCTGAAGGCATGCATGTAAGACAATAAGTGGATGTGTTCCGCTCTGGATCTCAGGACTGTAAAAGTAAAACAGTTCACTTCGCTACAGGCTCTTTGATGTAATCATTGTCTGTACTTTAAAAATGTTTGGCTGAATTAAAAAGATACAAATCAGACAGGGAATTATAGCAGAGAGAAAAGGGGTCAGGGACTAGTTTGCATGAAATGAAAAAGTTATATAAAACCAAACATAGGATTAGAAATCAATCTTCTAAAATTTGAGAGCCATTTTAGAGCTATCTGCTAACAAATAGAAATTTCAAATCGCATGATTGACCTTTGTTTCCTGTATATTAGAGAAGATTCTCCTGGTTGTTAAATATCAACAATTTTCTTGTCCAAATTGCAAAAGATTTTCAGTGGTCAATCTCTGTGAATCAAAACTGAATTTAAAATGGAGTTTTGTCTAGGAAAGACAACAGTCTAGGCCTTATCAAACCATTGCAGGTTCATATTCTAGCTTTTAGCATTTTCTTAAACAGTGGAATAACAATGAAATCAAATAAGGCACACTGGTTTTGTTTGTTTGTTTGTTTTTTGAGACGGAGTCTCATTCTGTCGCCCAGGCTGGATTGCAGTGGCGCCGTCTGGGCTCACTGCAAGCTCTGCCTCCCAGGTTCACGCCATTCTCCTGCCTCAGCTTCCTGAGTGGCTGGGCCTGCAGGTGCCTACCACCACGCCTGAATAATTTTTTTTTGTTTGTTTGTTTTTGTTTTTTTGTTTTTGTTTTTAGTAGAGATGGGGTTTCAGCATGTTAGCCAGGATGGTCTCGATCTCCTGACCTCGTGATGCACCCGCCTCGGCCTCCCAAAGTGCTAGGATTACAGGCGTGAGCCACTGTGCCCGGCCAAATAAGGCACATTCTTGAAGCGACTTTATCTTTGTCTAAGCTGCTGAGTGCCAAAGCCAGGCCATCCTCTGGGAGTCTGTGTACTTTGGTTCTTCTGAAGAGGTTCACTTGCTTTCTTAGTTTCCAAAACACATAAGAAAAAAAAGGCTGAAATTTAGTATTTTTTTTAGTGTTTCTCCCCCTTTCAGGGAGAGTAAGCAAGCAGTACCTCACAAATCCCCAGGGAGAGAGGCAAGGAGGGCAATGGTTAGCTTCAGTTTAGAGTTGGGAAAATCGAGGCCCACAGGAGGATGATGTGTTTTTCTCAGGCTGTGCAACAACCACCAAATCACTCTTGACATTCTCTGAAACTGCACCAGGATTTGCAATATGTTGATCTCACAATCTAGACTCCAGGTGATGCCAGAGGTGTCAGGTGTTCCATGAAGCACAATAACTGGACTTCACTATATTTTGCTGGAAAATCAGAAGATAAGTTGTCCCTCTAAATACTAGAAATGAAAGACTTTCCCTTCCCCATGAATGCTCAAATAAATATGTATCTGTATAGAAGGTAAGCATAAGAAAGAGAAAAAATAATCACATGCCCTCCCTGGGGTAATGCATGTTATGTGTGATACAGAGGAGGACACCTGTGTCTAAAGTAGAAAAGGGTGGGGTAAAACGACTATTTTGTCTCTTAAATGCCTGTGTTATTGAGCATGAGCAACAGAAAGATAAAGTAGACAGAGCATTTCACAGAAAATCAGGGGACCTGAATTCCAGGCCCAACCCTACCAGGGAATAATGCCACACAGTCTTTCCAGGTCTCTGTTTTGTCACCTATAAAATGATAATTTGGGCAAGTCATCCTGTAAATTCCTTCCCATTCTAAAGTCCTGTGACTTTGTAGGAAATGAATGGCCTGTTCCTATAGGTTATATAACTCTCTACTTATGTATTCCCATGCTATAGTCAAAATAATTTTCATTTGAGTGAAATAAAGTTACATGCTATAGAGTGTACATTTGGTTTTACCAGTGTTTGGACTGCCATGGAAATAAGGGTTATGTCTGGGGCAAGAGTGGACATTGCCACATTCTTCCCTTCCCGGTTTTTCTCAACATTATGTATGTTTGGAATTATAATAGAGTCCCTTAAGAGATTACTGCAGTTATTGCCTTTCTCCACTTACACATTTCCAGTCTTTTAATAACTGGGAGCCAAAATTCCCTGACCAGTAGTTTTAATTTGCATTAAAAACAGATTTATTCTTTACAGAAGCACAAAGAATTTATGGGACTCAGAGCTGCAGCTCCAGCTTGGATCTCGCCTAATCGTACCCATGGAATCAATTAACAGTTCATCTGTGAAATGTGATAAAATCTTATGAGATACATATTGCCCAATAACCGAGAATGAGATGAAAGTATGCTCCATAATAGTAACGGAGCTTCAGGGTTTTACAATCGCCATTGAATAGAGTTCCATTAGAAAATCAGTATTCAGGATGGCCACACACAAAAAAAAAACCACTGTGTCTGAACAGATGATAGAGCATTGAGTAATAAACCTGGCCAGCCATTCCTGCTTTGATTAGTTTCCAACACCCTAGAAAAGGGGGTCATTTATTTAAGTGTTCTTGCTCATGGCAAATGAGCTTGTGAGGCTTGGGGTAGGTGGGGGTGAGGGGGAAAGATTGAGTTCAAAGCTGTAAATTGCTGCAAAGCTAGTGCCTCCAAGAAGGGCTGCTTGGGAGGCCCAGGTAGTCTGGTGTGCAGTGAGCCTTGCTGGGATAGGTCTTACTGATATCTGGGAATCCACTCTGGAAAATTGGGATTCTTTACTGACCAGACTGGAGATCATTTTTCCAAGATCAGAAATGGTTTTTCATCCAAAACTTGCTATGCCTACAACTGTATCTGTTTTTGTACATCAGTGGTTTGTATTCTTGTATCATATTAAGCTTTAAAAGGTAGCCCTCCTGAAGATCATATCATCTACATCTCTTATTTTACCCTTGAGAAAATTGAGAGTCAAAGATGCTGAGTGATTGACCCAAGATTACAAAGCCAGTATATGCCCGAATAAGGATAGAATGGATTTTCTTGCTTTTTTGTGAAACATTTGACAGATTAATTATTCCCAATGAGCTATCGAACTGACCGCTGCTAATGCTGCAGTCAGTGTGTCATCTGCCTTGCATGTAATCACTAAACATAAAATGAAGAGCAGGGAAGAGACGGGGATTTGAGATGAAGAACAAACTCGAGACGTTTTACCTACACACCCCCAGAAATTATACATGCTGATTTTATACAGATAAGATGTGCCCAGGAGCATCCCAATCAAGTTCCATTTTTTGGCAAATCAGTTTGAGCAAATAGATTTTCTGAGGTTTACAATAAACTTCAGTAACTATGAGCCCCCAGCTTCTGTGTTACAAAATAAACACAAGAGAAACTGCCCCCAGCATCCCCCCTCTAATGGATTTTAGTGTTGGCAATTTCTCACCTCTACCTCATTCCATTTTCCCCCCTACCTGTTGCAGTTTTGAAACAACAGTACGATATTTTGGGATGAAGCCAAAGTCTGGTGAGAAGGAGATCACACCCAGCTACGTGTTTATGGTGTGGTATGAGTTCTGCAGTGACTTCAAGACAATTTGGAAACGGGAGAGTAAAAACATATCTAAAGAAAGGTAAGGTTCAAAAAAAGATTTTAATGCCTCCTTCAGGAGCCTAGGAAACTGCACTCTTAAACCTATCAAAGTGTGTCTATTTCACACCTGTCGATGTTTTCTTTCGGATGAAGTGGTCATAGGGGAAGGACTTTTTGCCTCAGGGATCGTAGGGAAATTCGGGGAAAGCTTGCTGTCCACACAGGCAGATATGCTCACATGATCTGATAAGTTACACTTTCTTAACCCCTTCCAATTACTAGCTAGTAAATGAAAGGAGGGTTGTGCTAATTTGCAACAGATTGCTTCTCTGTGTATTTTCATGTTGGCCCAGGCTAAATGAGGCAGCCTTGCTGTCGCAGACAGTATAGACAAATAAAAGTGAATGCTTTTCCCATTAATATACTGAACTTGCATCAAAGGAAAATCTCTGTGACTCAGGCCACACTTCACACAGCGTGGAAGCCCCGCATTGGATTTACAGCGCCACTTCTGACTCCCTGTATCCTGCTGCGGACATCAAACTGCGTGCCGCTCAGCCTCGTTGCAGCCCCCGATTTTATTAGCTGGGGGTAGAAGAAAAACCTCAACTCTGAATATAGACGGGGTGTGTGTGTGTGTGTGTGTGTGTGTGTGTGTGTGTTCGTTTTCCTTAGAGAGATTGAATTTGCCCCTATTTATCAGAAAAAAGCATTTCTGCCTGATCATTTTTGTGATTGGGTTGCCACTGTTATGGAAGGGGTGTCATGGATTTAAATTTCAAACAGGTCTTACTACTACTCCTGTGGAACAGATGTATAAGAATGGCATTCAAAACAGAGTGGAAGGAGACAAAAAATTCCTCAGCGTAAGGAAAATGATATATTTCATTATAGCATCTACCTTTTACTAACCTGTGAGGCCTGACATTCCATAATTCAGTATTTTTATTCTTCACTTTGTAATCAAAGAAAAGATATATACATAATATATTTCTAGACACATCACAACCTACCCTAATATATTTCACCTTAAAACACTAGTAAGAGGAGCAAAATTGTGAGATTTTTGACCTAGTATTAGTCTCTAAGTATTTTCTCAGGGAGCTAAAAAAAGAGAAAGGCCTTCTTTCTTTCCAAGGAAGTTAAAGATGTGTTTATCAACACATCTTCCCATCAGTACTTCTTTGGGAACATGGGAATTAAACTGAATATATCCATTATATAGATAAAACTGAAGCAGAGAAAAGTACCATTGTTGAGAAAATAGGTCGTTGATAATAACATGAAAAAAAATCCTAAAAATCTTGGCACCCAACCCATAGCTCTTGCCCTGCCATCACTTATTTAGCCCTTTAAAGTAAGCTAAAATAAGTTTCTGTGGAATCAATTCTCATACGAAAATACTATTCTTAAAACAGCATAGGAGCTGGCCAGTCTGCCCTCCAGGTCCATACACCTTGAGGCTGGGACATCCCACAGTGGGCCTGGAATGTACAGCTTTTGCTTAAGAATTTTTACACCTCAGATTTTGAGCACAGTCCTTAGTATATTTGTCCTTGGGGCCCTAAAAATGGTCTAAAACAAACAAAAGACCAACAGAGAAGGCAATTAATTGCTTTATATGTTAATGATCTTCTGTTGAAATAACTGTATTCCACATTAAAGAGTGTTCTGTATCATAGAAGTTAGATCAAAGAAATTGTGAGTCTGTCATAGAGGTGGTATCCAGAAGTCCTTCAAAATGACAGTATCTCTGATTCCCAGCCACGGGCGTTTGTGGCATTGCTTCCTGGGTGCAGCTGTTGAATTGCCTGCTTCACACTCTGTAAACCAACCCCTTTACAGGGTCATGACCTCACAAGACCCTTTTTGGTTCTTCTCATTTCGCAGTTTCAGGGGACCCTTCATTCCAGCCATGCTCTGTGAGGATGGATCACCAAGGTTTCTACCCTAAAACAACATCTCTGAAAGTTGATGATGGCTAATAAGATATTTCTGGAGGCAGCAGCATGGTTAGGAAAATCTGTGTGTTAAGAAATATTAGCACATTATGTATATTACTCCTCAACCATTTAAACAAACTGCTTGATATCCAGGGTTTTCTTAAAATCCTAAAGTGAGAACTTTGTTAAAGTGTTCTCTGTCTGCTAAAGATTTTAGCTTCTTTCCTGTTAGAATCACACATTCATTATGGTAAAATAAGCAAATTAACTGGAATTTTTCTATTAAATGAGGAACACTATAATTGCTTTGTTTTGACATCTATTTAATGATATTTGATATTATAGTTTCAATTATACTTTCCCCAGAAACCGAATATATCCCAACAACACTAAACATCAGGAGACAACATAACATCATTAACAAGGGCATCCTAAAAAATAAAATTCATAACCAAAATAAAAACCTGATGATGTGTAATTATAAAGAAAAAAACTAGTTTGGGATCTCATCAGAAAAATTCAACTCACTTAATTTTTAAATATATTGGAAGGCCAACTAAGTGCTCAAAATCATTGGAAAAATTAAGAATCAGTACTAGCATTTTCAAAGGGACAGGTTTCATGGAAAACACTGTTTTGTTTAAATTCTACTTCCAAATGAAATGGAAGTGTTGAAAACTACTTAGGCCACTGGAGGTTAATTTTAGGTGGTGGTGAATATTTACTTTTCCTGCTTAGGTAGTTTTCATGAGTACACATTAGTTTGATACAAAATTGAGATGAATGCATCTTCATAACAAGATAACAGCTTCCCCTCATAAAATCCAGAATAATCTCTAACATACAAATGACCACATAAAAATGTCCTAAGTTCTTGTGCCTTGTGAGTGAACAATAATCTTATTAAACTGGTGTCAGGGCACAACTCTGTGGTTCGGCAGAAGGAACAATATTTCACTGGGGAATATGGTTTACCTGGAGATTAACTATATCTTTGGAAGAGTAATCTACTGTGTCGTGGTATATTAATGGCTTTCAATTTTCCTTGGCATTCAAGCCAATCTTAAGCAAAAGAGCAAACTTCTGAGCCCAGGCACAAATCCAAAAGCGCCACTTTCTAGACGTGCAGTCTGTGACCCACTCAGTCATCGTGCTGCCCCTGGTATCAGGACTCATCTTTCAGTGAAGCATCCCAGTCCCTTCTCTTATCCCTTCTGAATATGTGCAGTGCTGAGCAGTGTAAAAAAAGACCTGGAGACAGAGAGCTGAAAACAGGCATTTTTACCCTTCACCCTGCCACCCCCCCACCCCCATTAATTGGCTATGTGATCTTGGGCCAGTCACTTATTCACTGGGAACCCGATTGTCACATCTGTAAAATGTATGTATCAGGACGAAGCAGGAATTAAATGGTGACTATGAGCTCTTCTAGCTCAAAATCTCTATGAATCTAGAAACTGCGGTTCTAATTTTCTGAGGAGCTGTGTGTTTCCCTTCTGCCATAGTGCCCCTCACCTTTGCTCTTGAGCTATAGGTACTATATTGGAAGATATTTCAAGCAAGGACTTGCAGGTGAGTTGGGAGAGAGATTAGGTGCCAGAAAGAATTTTCATTGCCCTCTTGAAATCGGTAAACATCTATAGCTACCTTGCCTCACCTGAACCCCCAGTTCTTCTCATAAAATACTAATGTTGGCCTTTGTTTTGTTTTCTTTTGAGTCATTCAGGCTAGAGTGCCATGACGCAATCATAGCTTACTGCAGCCTTGACCTCCTGGGCTCAAGCAATCCTCCTGCCTTAGCCTACTGAGTAGCTGGGACTACAGGTGTGCATCACCATACCTAGCTAATTTTATTTTTTTATTTTTGTAGAGACGGTGTCTCACTATGTTGCCCAGGCTGGTCTCAAACTCCTGGGCTCAAACAATCCTCCTGCCTTGGCCTCCCAAAGTGCTGGGATTACAGGCATGAGCCACCACGCCTGATCCTAATGTTGTTCTTGAAGATCACGTTTTTTTATGGAGCATGTACACAAAACGTTTTTTTCTCTGCTCATCTGTATCCAACATTGCATTTATGATGTATCATAATCCAAGGTTTATTTTATCCTCAGAAGCAACTTTGCCTCACTTTTACCTTTTAATGCACTTTTGTATTTGTACCTCATGATATCCAAACATTCAATGAATTTTTGGTACACATGTTTCTTCCACCTGTTAAATCAATAGATTATCCAAGTATATGCATAACTGCAAGTAGGTAACCTAATTTTTGCTGATACCTTTATTGGCTATTCTTTACTCTTTTTTATTTTTTTATTTTTTATTTTTTTTGGCTGCTGAATTATTCTGGGTGATAGGACCCTTACTTACAAAACATTCCACCATTTAGGATATCCTAAGACTGCCCCCACATATGCCCGCGCATGCACACGAAGCACTGCCTCCCACAAAATGAGCTTTGAATTTGCAAAAGGTACAGAAGGCCTACGGGAGTCATGACTCCAGGAATAAAGTCTGGGCATATAATTCACCCTGAGCCAAAGCAAACTTTAAAAGTGCCATTTAAAAACCCCATAATGGGTAAGTAATGAGTGAATTAGAAGTTTGGTGAATTTTATGTGAAATGAAAATAAGAAATTTCACTACACACATAGCTATAATTTACACCATAGGGGAATGGATAGTTATCTTGTTTTTTTCTTTTGGGGGCGAGGGGGCTGTTTTTTTATTACCCAGCCACCTACCAATAGGGTTTTTGTTTTAAGTCTGTTACTTGCTGCTGTTATGGGTGATTATGGAACTGCTGTACCCTTTACAGAAGATAGTTCAAAGCTGTTGTGAGGCTATCCTGAAAGCTGTTCTCACAGCTCCCTACTGCTCAGGTCACTTTAGGACCAAGAGTTGGGGACTTAGAGATGCTGTCACTCAATCCACAAGCCACTGACTGCAGTGTAGACACTACAGGAATTCTTTTCTTTACATGATAAACTTACTCCTAGAAAAAGCTCCATAAATAAAATTGTTATTTATTGAATTCTGCTTTCCTACTGACATACATACATGATAATTTCAGTAACTTGTAACATGTTAACTTTCTTTTCCTTGCCCTGTGTTATGTAGTTAAATGACTTGTATTCATTTAACCACTAAAGAGCTGCTTATTTTTAAAAATCCCTTAATAATACAATCACCCCCTAATTAATTGTCAAAACTTTGAATTTTCCTAAATCACATTTGAAAATGGTTCTGTGCAAATACACAAACAGTAAATGCCCCAAGACCTAACTGATAAACAACATTGTCATAATCACAAAGAACAGCCGGGCGTAGTGGCTCATGCCTGTAATCCCAGCACTTTGGGAGGCGGAGGTGGGTGGATGACCTGAGGTCAGGCGTTCAAGATCAGCCTGGCCAACATGGTGAAACCTCATCTCTACTAAAAAATACAAAACTTGGCTGGGTGTGGTGGTGCACACCTGTAATCCCAGCTACTCGGGAGGCTGAGGCAGGAAAATTACTTAAGCCTGGGAGGCGAAGGTTGCAGTGAGCCGAGATCGCGCCACTGCACTCCAGCCTGGGCAACAGAGTGAGACTGTCTTTAAAAAAAAAAGAAAAGAAAAAAAGAAATCACAAATAATAAAAACTGCTTATTCCCCAAGCAATAAATTTAAAACTACATCTGCAAAATTAAAAATATGCCATGAATAAGGAGAGAGGATAAACTAAAAAACTGTAAGAATTATAGGATCATTGGTTTAAAAAACTATACACACCTCTTGGCCCTCTCTCTGAAAGCATCATTCCGTCTCCTTTTCCCTTCTAACTTCTTTTCAAAGAATGATTTACGTTCATTTCCTTATTTCCTTTTTCGTACCACACACTCCTTCCTGTCTCAGTAAGGATAACGTCTTGGCTGCCATAACAGAGGCCAAAATAACTGTTGCTTAAACAAAGGAAAAATCAATTTTCCTCATGTATAACAATCTGAATGCAAGGAGTTTGGATGTCAGGAACCCAGTTTTCTTCTCTTTTGTGGTTGCCATCCTTAAGGTAAGGTCCTTATTCCCAACGTGTAAGGGGGCACACGTCAGGTCTACTGCTACCATTGCTGCTGAGTTCCTGCCAGTGGGAAGGGGACTGCACAACCTTTCCTTTTAATATTAAATAGCATGAGCCGGAAGGTGCACACATCACTTCCACTTTATCCCATTGGACAGAACTTAGTCTCATGGCCATACACAAGGGAGACCAGGAAATGTAGGCTTAGCTGGGAGCCATGTCCCTGCTAAAGACTCATGGTTTCCTTTACTAAAGGAAGCAGGAGAACTGCATATTGAGATTGTTACTAGACTGTGTCACATTTCCTAACTGAAATCAGATGACTCCTTCTAACTAATTCTTTGCCACTGCTAGTTTTTTTGGGTTTTTTTTTGTTTGTTTGTTTTATTTTGTTTTGAGACAGAGTCTTGCTCTGTCGCCCAGGCTGGAGTGCAGTGGCGCGATTTCGGCTCACTACAAGCTCCACCTTCCGGGTTCATGCCATTCTCCTGCCTCAGCCTCCCAAGTAGCTGGGACTACAGGCGTCTGCCACCACGCCCGGCTAATTTTTTTTTTTTTTTTTTTTTGGTAGAGACTGGGTTTCACTGTGTTAGCCAGGATGGTCTCAATCTCCTGACCTCGTGATCTGCCCGCCTCGGCCTCCCAAAGTGTGCCACTGCTAGTTTTTGACACCAATGGTAGTTTCCTCCATCTCGAAATGCCTCGTTGCTCTGATAATATATTGGGTCTCTCTGCGAAGGTGACTACTCCCCTTCTTCATCTCCCTCCTTAGTTCCTCTGTTTCTTCTGTTCCTTAAGTGTGGGCCTTCCCCAAGGTAAATCTCAGTGTTCCTCTTTTCTGCTCTATTCTCTGTTTTGTTAGTCCCAACTATTTTCACAGCTTCACCTATCACCTCATTGCCAAGGCCTCCCAAGTTTTAGACCTACATTTCCTACTGCACATTAAACTGTATACCCAGCCTTCATCTGCAATTCAATATGTCTCGGTTGGAAATTATTCCATCTCAACTAAGGCCTATTCCTCTTAGGCTCCCTAACTTTCAATTGCAACACTATCCTCCTCCTATTAGCAAAAGGCAGGCTGGAATGAGAATTATTTTTACTGCTACAAGATTTATTTTTCATCTATTTCTGACTCTTTATAGTTTTGCCCCCTTAATGGTGATTGTTCTTTACCCTGTATTTGAGGTGTCTCTGCTCTGATTCAGGACTCTATCATCTCTCACTTGGATTATTGAAACATCCTTCTAACTCTTCTCTCTGCCTAGAGGTTTTCTATTTCCTCTTGAAGTGTCCCTGAATATTGCATCCAATTATCTTTCCAAAACAGAATTTAGATCATAGTTATCTCTTTAAACATATTCTGTGGTTTTCCATTGCTCATGAAATAAAGGAAAGATAATTAGCCATGGATGGTACTTTAATTTATTAATGTATTAAGTTGTCACAACAGCCCTGAAGGAAAAAAAAAAAGGTTTATTGCTATTTCACAGCTAAGCATGAGAGAGTAAATGAATTTTCAATGTCATAGTTTCATTAATAAACAGAATGAGGATAAGAACCTAGGTCTTTTTTTTTTTTTTTTACACTAAAGCTTGAGTTCTTTCAAGAACTTCATATTCTCTCCCAAATTATAGCATGGCCCTCTGAGAACCTGCCCTAAACTCACTCTTTAGCCTCATTTCCTATAGCCTCATCCCTCCCTGCACCTACTATGACCACTCACTGTCTCACACCTGCACTTTCTTTCCTTGTGTTCTCACTGGATAATTTCTTCATACCGCATTCCCCCCATTATTTCCTGCTGATCAAAATAGAGTCGTCTTTCAAGGGCTGCCTCCAGAAACCAGGTTCTGTAGAAATGTTCTGAAATCTCCCTTAATAAAAGAATTAGCTTTTCCTGTGGGCTCTGACAGCATTTTCTTCTTACGATCCTTTAGTATTTAATTAATTCCAACTTGTTATTTTAGCAGTTTATGTGTATCTTTCCACTTCTAGGACACAAGCCTGTTCTTTGCTGTGTCTTGTATGGTGCATTCTCCAGCGCACAGCTGGATATTGAAAGAGCATTGAAGATCTTGGCTGGTGTAAGAGTTTGGAGGAAGAAATGATCCAAAGGAAATGTGGAAGCTACAGGGAGCTTTGAGAAGACACTTAGCCATAATCAGGACCACCCTAAGCAGATAGTTTTAGAGGAGATTCAGAAGCCAGTAGGGCAGTGTTAGAGATCAGCAGCTCCCAAACCTGGCAGATCTCCCAAGTCACCTGGAGGTCATTGTAAAAATGTAAACAGATCCACTGAATCAGAATACCAGAGTGTAGAGTCTAGAAATCTGTGGTTTTAGAAACTCCCCACAGAGATGGCAGAGCAAGAACACATTTTGTGTTTAGTTTCCTTAATAAATGCCTTGGCTTCACCATCCTCTTGTTTACATGTACCAGGTAGGCTTTGGAGATCAGAGATTGACACCTTCCTAGTGATCCTTCAGCCAAGTTTAGAAACTCCTGGGCTCAGGTGATCTTGCAGTTCTCTTCCAACCCTGACTTCCTGTGATTTTAAGTAGAAAATGAGCTGGGCATTGACAGCAGATGAATTTGGCTACATAGACATAAAGAGGCGGACCTGGGTGACTGAACATGCGTTTGGAGGAATCATGCAGTGTTATTCCTGGGATCAGCCTAACTGCCTTCTTTTCTGTGCTTCCTCCTTTGAGTGCTTGGTCTACTCCAGTCTCTTGTGTATTTGCACATTCCTATAATATAAATTTGCAGCACTTAATTTAAACACGTAGAATCATGTGTCACTTAACTAGCGGGATACATTGTGAGAAACGCATTGTTAGGTGATTTCATCATTGTGCGAGCATTATAGAGTGTACTTACACAAACCTAGATGGTGTAGCCTACTTCACACCTAGGCTGTATGGCATAACCTAGTGTTCTTAGGCTGCAAACCTGTACGGCAGGTTACTGTACTGAATATAATTGTAACACAATGGTATTTGTGTATCTAAACATATCTAAACACAGAAAAGGTACAGTAAAAATACAGTATAAAAGATAGAAAATGGTACACCTGTGTAGGGCGCTTAACCATGAATGGAGGTTGCAGGATTGGAAATTGCTCTGGGTGAGTCAGTGAGTCAGTGGTGGGTGAATCTGAAGGCCTAGAATATTACTGTACCCTTCTGTAGATGTTATAAACACTGTACATTTAGGCTACACTAAATTTATTTTTATAATAAAGTAGTTGTGCCACAACATTATGGTGGCTATGACTTCACTAGGCAATAGGAATTTTTGAGCTCCATTATAACCTTATGGGACCACCATCATATATGAGGTCTGTCTTTGACCGAAATGTCATTATGCAGTGTGTGACTCTACTTTAAAACTACTATAATATTTACATAATGGTATAATCTAAAAATATTATGTCTCAAGTGATATACAGACTATGAAACTATTCTGGAAAAATTTATTGATCACATACGGTGTCCTTCATGAAGCTTTCTCCAATCTGTGTGAGCTATCGTATCTCCAGAATTTTGGGGGTTTACTGTATCTTCAGTTTTGTCATTTAATGATTTGGTTTTTTATTCATTTGGTTATAGGCACTTTCTCTTTTAGATAAATCATAGGCCCCTAGAAGATAATTACAATGTCTTGTACCACTTTGTTTTCTCTGTAGCACCTTGTTTTTCCATATATATAGTAGATGCTGAGTTAGTATTTGTTGAACAAATAAATAATCATTGTGTTTCCTTTTGCCATGTTGAAATTGATTGCAAGATTTGCTGTCTGCTGCTGATAGATGAAAAATCTTGTTTATTTGGGTTTTGGTGGTAGAAGTCCCTAAATGTATCCCATATGGGTTGCTTTTGCCCAAGAATCTAAAATCTTAATAGCTTTGTTAAAGAGAATAGACATGTTCAGAACAAGAAAGATTAGTTAATGGAATAAAACAATCGCCAGCTCTGTTCTTGACTGTATTACTTTCAGTTTGTTTAGAAAAAAAGAAGGAAGTGGAGATCCTTTGGATTCATGGCTATGCCAAGCCTCAAACCTCTTTGGAGCTCAAATCAAAACCTTAGAGAGCATCTGTCCGCACTCCATTTCCCTAGCTTGGCAGAGAACAATGGAAACCTAAAGTATGTCTCCTTCATTCAGCCTAGAATATTTCTAAATTACTTATCTGTGGGACTCCTGACAGCTCCTGCCTTGGGCAGAGATGCAACAGGGGGCTGCCTGGGTAGAATGATTTGAGGGGCGCCAGAGAGACTCCTTACTCCAGACAATCTTCCCTGTTTCCTCACCCTTTTGTTCCAGTCACCCATGCAAACAGGCTCTCAGTGCTAGTTTTTGGTGAGACTCAGTAGGTGGTAGAGGTTTCAAAACCAAAAGGGGGAGCTTGCATCTGCTAGCACATGCATGTCTTCATTATCGGGATTGGAAATGTCTTCCAAAGACTAATGCATTTCAATTAAATTTGCAAATTTATGACACAGGGCTGATTTCAGTTTTCAAACTGTCTCCCAGACTACTCTCCCTAAATGAGGAAATGAATGCGATGCTGTTACCTTTCACTCTGCACCTAAATCGCCGGGTCGGCTCTGGGTGTTATGTCTACTAAGTGCAGAGTGATTGGCTTTAACTGATCATGCATTCCAGGGCAAGTCCAGGGCTCCCCAACTTCAACTCCCCTGTGTCCTGGGGGAGAAGCTCTGCAAACGGAAGAGGACTTTGTTCTGCAATTAATCACTTGAAGTCAAAGTATGTTTGGGTACTACAAGTGATAGCTCACAAAAACTATGAAGTGGCTGATCTGTGTAGCTGGTGAAATGCATGCAGTCTCTAAGAGAAGTTTTTTACTTTTAAATAGGAAAATATCTTAGGAATAGAGTAGGGAAAATTGTCAGATTTAGATTTGACAAAGTACACAATTGGACAAAGTAGAAGTGATATGCTAATTTATCATGGAATAACTTTTTTTTTTTAAGAGACAAGGTCTCATTCTTTTGCCCAGGCTAGAATGCAGTGGTGTCATCATAGTAACCTCCAATTCCTGGGATCAAGTGATCCTCCTGCCTCAGCCTCCTGACTAGTTAGGACTACAGACACACATCATCATGCCCAACTCATTTTTTAAAAAGCATTTTTTAGTTGAGAGGGTCTTGCTGTGTTGCCCAGGCTGGCCTTGAACTCCTAGCCTCAAGCAGTCCTGCCTCAGCCTCCCAAAGCACTGGAATTACAGGTGTGAGCCACCATGCCCAACTGGAATAACTTTTAAAGGCTAAATTCTGGTGTGTTAGGAGCTAAGCCTAAGATTACTTTCTGCTGGTATTCTTACTTTCCTGCTGGTCTGTTTTATCATGGCTGCTAGTGAAACTGACCTGGGAGGCACAGGAGGTGGTCGGTGCCAGAGCGGTCAGGGCTGAAGGTCAGACTCTGAAGAGAAAATGAGCATGGAAGAGTGTGTCTGTCTAAGTATGTGGCCTTGTTGGCCTGCCTGGGATAAATGAACTTGGGGTTACCCATTCTTTCTTACTGTTTATGGCTCTTTTCTCTTAGTTTTATTTTTCTACCCTTTGGAAACATTCCACATAGCCTAGTCAATGATGTTTTCATCAGCTGCTGCAGCAAGGAAAAAATTTCCCTTTAAATTGAGAAATTAATGAGTTTGTTGTTGTTTTTTTCTTACAGTAGGGAGTGACTTTACTTATTTCATTGACTTTTATAGCAGTTAACCTCGTGCGATAGTTATGTCAGGAATTCAGAAATGCCTCGTGAGTGACTGTTGTCAAGATGGATAGAAATGAGAGTGGTCCTCACAGCCCTGGTCAGGTCTCTACGATCTCACTTATTTAGAATCAAAGTTGGACATTAGCCCGTTTTCGCCTGGAGAAACAATTTCGCTCTGGGAACTGGGGGCTGTACCTTGTATAGACTCGAGTAGTATCAAAAGACCTGAACAAACTATATAGAGTGGACAGAGCCTTACTTCTGATGTTCAGGCCACCAGGCAGTGGTTGGAGGGATGGCTGGACACAGCCATATCCCTCTGAAAGCATATTTAAAACAGCCCTTATGGCGTTAATACCATCTATGTTTCAGGTAAGCCTAATGAGAAAAAGATCAAAACGTTGCCCTCAATCTTCTCTATTCAAAATGCCATAAACCATGTGATATTGAGCTTTCTGAGGCAAGGAAGCCATTTCCCTGATGCCCCAAAGTCTATATGTTATTCCTTGTGCCTTGGCCTGATGTGACTTAGTTCAAAGCTGCAAGGAGATCATGGCAAAGGAGTGAATATTCACTCCTTTTTGTATTTCATCCTTGAAGCTCTATATACCCCTTTTCTGACTTTTTCTTCTGAAGGGAGACCATAAGAGTGTCATTATTTGCTCATAGAAGCTGTCCCTGATAATGACTGGTAGAGCAAAGCTATATTGGGTAGTCAGACTGGTGAGTCATTTATTTTACAGGTGTGATCTACAGTGAGGGCCAATACCTTTTTTATACCACGGAAACCTTATTCACCATTCCAAAGGACCATAGGCCAGAATTGACTGAGCCAGTGGTAAAAATGTGTTTTTTGCATGTTCCTTTGTTTATCATGTTCGTCCATGTATTTCTGAACAGTCATGAGAATGAAGAGCTCTTGCATTTATTAGAGAGATTCTGAACTCCTGTCTTTACATTTAGGGTAAGTCCAGTGGTGCAGCAGCTTGGACCTTCAGTTTTTATCATCCTACTTTTTAGGGAACGTGGACATTTCCTGTGGCATGCTGACTTAAAGGCACATTACCTGTTGGCACACAGAGCATACCGTATCCATTTTTTAGACCATTTTTATCTTCTTTCTTTAGCAACGAGTGATATTAAAATCTTTTTTTAAAGAGATTCATATTATAGCTGGTCAGATCTCATGTGTTTCCCAAGATGCCTTTCATGAACCATATTCCCTCAATGTGTCTCTTTTCTTTGCCTTTGTCTGCCAATATTTCCAAAGCCATTAACTTTTAATGGCTTGGATCAAGAAACATACATGATCTGAGTCGAGCGGTGATTAATTTTAGTCACACTGTACTAGGTAGCTGGTAGGGCTTTCTTTTTAAAGCTAGTAGCATTAGAGGCCAAAAGTTTATTCCTCTGCTCCTGAAGTCACTTCTTGGTCCTGTTGTCTACAATACAAAAGCAAGTAATGTATTAACAAAAATGCCCTGATAGTATTACCAGATTGTATTTTCTGTACTGACTGAAATGAACCAATCATATTATTTAGGAGAATTTCTAACATATCACCCATAGGTGTTTAAAAGATAACGCTAATTTTCAGGGGCCAGTTACCTATTTTTAAACACTAAAATTAATTCCATAGGTTAGAGTGTAAACCCAAACCTGAACCATGATTTGAGACCTGTTGTGTCCAGACGCCAGTCATCAGCCTAAATTCCTTTTTTTCATTATAAATATAACTTAGCCTTTGTCTGGGCTTGATGGCTTACACCTGTAATCCTAATACTTTGGGAGGCTGAGGCAGGTGGATTGCTTGAGTTCAGGAGTTTGAGACCAGCCTGGGCAACATGGTGAAACCTCATCTCTACAAAAAAAAAAAAAATATATATATATATATATACACACACACACACACACACACACACACACACACACACACGTACGTATACACACACACACACACCCCCCTAGCATCATACTTAAGAGTTACTCAAAAGTTAACAGGTTGACAGTCTTGTTACAGTTCACACAGATACGTTGAATGGGAAAGAAAGGAAACGAGGATGAGCAGATGAACCCCCCTCCAAAAAAAGTTAATTGCAGTCACAGAATTAAGTTGGGAGAAGCCATAGGCAAGGTGTAATAAGATAGCTCTATTTAATTTTCATTCTGAAGCTATTAAAAGCAAAGGAGGCAAATAGACATTGGAAAGTTGCATAGGGCAGAAATCAGGGAACTCAAGCAAAATTCCAGAAAAGACCATAAATAAAATGAATCATAATGAAATGTGAGGCAATCTCTGCCTTTATGAGAGGGAAATAAATGGGTGCCCCACTTATTTCCACAGTCTGGTTCATCTGGATCTGTCCCCACTGTGCCTGTCTGTATTTGCCAGACACTGGTGATCTCACAGGCTTAGAACTTACCTGGAAAGTAATAAGCAGAAGAGAGTGGGAAAGCTGGCCATGTTGTGATTTTTGTAGATTTGATGTTTTACTGGAGCCCAAAATCTGAAATCTTGTGGTTATGGCTGTCAGAAGAATCATCCCCTTGGTCTTCTTAAATCAGTTGTCTACCTCTAAGATATTCATAGACAGTTCTTTAGGAAGAAGCTTTCTGTTGGCTTCTGTTGTCTTTCTCCTGAAGAGGAAGGTTTGTTTTGTTTTGTTTTGTTTTGTTTTTCCCCCTAGGAGCTTCAAAAAGTTCTGTTAAAAAAAAAAAAGCAGACCTCTTTTTGTCTAAAAACATACATAAATCATCAATGTATAAAACAAAGTAAAGCTTTTCTAACTGAAGCAGAGCTTGCCAACATTGGCATCTGGAGGATCCCCTAATTCTGCCTCTTCTCCCTGAAACACCTTTGCTGAAGGTTAAAGCTCTTTGAAAAATAGTTTACAAACACTGCTCCAAACTATTGGATTTTCCAATAGTGAAAAGGAGTGTAAAGCAGCCTGAACACTCTTATCTGCCCCATTTCCTCCATATCTCATTTATCTCTTGATTGGCTGGTGTGCTCAATCCCTGTGGTCAAAAATAAAAGCACTTCTGTTATTACAAACTTCATAATGATTTCAGTATCTTCTGCCTTGTACAACACAAACCAGTGAAATACTGAATGTCAAAAGAATAAAGACTTGGTACTTCCTCAGTCTCACAGATGGCTAGATTCTGAAAATTGACTTGATTTAGCTGCAGCTGTATGCCTCTAACCTGTAGAAAGCCCACAGTATGCCCATAGGCTTTCCCAAAAGATGAGGCTATAACAGTGGGGAGCCTAAATCTCTAAATGGAAAGCCACGCCACTTCAACTACTTTTTTTTTTTTTTTTTTTTTTTTTTTTTTTGAGACAGAGTCTCGCTCTGTCGCCCAGGCTGGAGTGCAGTGGCACAATCTCAGCTCACTGCAAGCTCCCCCGACCCCGGGTTCACGCCATTCTCCTGCCTCAGCCTCCTGAGTAGCTGGGACTACAGGCGCCCACCACCACATCTGGCTAATTTTTTGTATTTTTAGTCGAGATGGGGATTCACTGTGTTAGCCAGGATGGTTTCGATCTGACTTCATGATCCACTCACCTCGGCCTCCCAAAGTGCTGGGATTACAGGCGTGAGCCACCACACCCGGCCAGGTTACAGTCAACTTCTACAGAGTCAAGACTAGGCAAGAACATCAGAGGACATGACTCACTTTCCCATCTTACACTTGTGTCTTTCCTCAGTAGACTTTGGCAGCACTTGGTATTTACTGGGGCTCCCAATAACTCCTTAGGGAGCATATGCATGATAATGAGAAAGAGGAAAAGATAAAGTTTTCAAAAATTTTACTGAGACGTTTATCAATTGAGAATATATATTTTCTTTCTCTGATATGTTTGTTTGTTTCCTATATTTCCAAATTCTTTT